>NC_000002.12:50493382-50796412 GCF_000001405.40 Homo sapiens | reverse complement strand
CCACTTTTTGCAACACATATATTACCCGTGTGGCCAGAAGGCCTTCATTCCAAAATTGCTTATGTTCAGAACAGAGTGATCCAACAAATATGATGAAGTGGTTAAAATATGTCTCATTTATGAGTTCCTTTAGAGCAAACCAGGCTTTTAAAGAAGTATAAAAATTAACTTTGGAGAATTCTACTTTCTCTATCACCAGCAGCCATTTTAGGAGTATTTGAACATGCTTAACATGGCTTCTGAGAATCCCTGTTATAGTCACGCAGACAGCCTAGCAACCAGACCAAGCCTATTTAATAATTCTTCCATAAAGTTCCCCCATTAATAGGATAATATCAGCAGCTACTGAGGAAACTAAAGCAGCATTGTGATTTGGAGCCAGTTTCCCCCAGACTTGACTGGTGGCTTTAGTTGAAGCACTAATTAGATTTCTTGTGAACCTTGGGTCATTGCGTGATGAAATACTGCTTTGCAGCCCCTGACTCAGTACATTATTGGGCTAATAATATTTATTATGCACTGATTGTGAGCCAATCATTCCAGCAGGCATTGTTATAAAAAGGAAAAAAAAAATGCATGTAACAAATAGTATAATAATATAATTAAGACCATGCACCATAGGGATACACAAAGGCTTTAATTTACTAATTAATGAAGCAAGGAGTACAAACAAGTCTAATAAAAGTGAGTTCATAAGTACTGAGCAGTTCCACATGGAGGAGAATTGTGTATCAACTGGGGTAAATCAGAGATGATTTCACAGCCAAAGTGAGATTTACATCTGGATTTGAAAGAGATCAGAGTTACAGAATTATATGGGAGGGAGGGAATTGGGGAGTGAGGAAGGGGGTGAAAGAGAGAGAAAGAGGGAGAGAAGAAAGAGGAGGAGAAAGAAAGGAAAGGGAGGAGCAGGAAGAGGCAAGAAAAGAAGGAAAGAAAATGCAATCTTCCAGGTTGGAGTGGATTGATCTTTTAGTTTAACTGATGAGCACAGAGGTTGATAACATAAAAGTAAGGGAGAAAAAATAAACTGATGCCGCTGACACAGTGGTTAAGAGCACATACAGATTACTGAATCATGAAGAAAATTGGGTCTTTTAAATTCTTGGGTAGTTTCCAGACCTATGGGTCAAGCGTCAGCATCACATGAGACCTTGTTAAAATGTAAATGTGGGGGCTCTCCAAACCTACTTACCAAACCCTCCAGGTAAATCTTATCTACATAAAGTTAAAAAACTCCTGATGCTCAGTGTAAAATAGATTTCACTGAAAAGACTACAGGTCCCAGATGTAAGGATGCTAGATTAGCTCCATGATCTCCTACTAACTACTAAGCATGTAGTTAACAAAATTCCTTGATAGTAATGCACAGAGATAGGTAGGGAAATGTAAACAAGGATGGATTTGTAAGGCTTGGAAAAAATATAGTTCTTTTAGGTTTATTTGACACCTAAGTAGGTCATTTATGAAAGTGATTTGATGAGGTTGATGAGCAAATTGTTGTCTAATTATATTTTCACTGTAAGAGTCTGAAAAATGTTTTCAGCCATAATATTGACTATGAAAAAATTGTGTTTCAAAAAGATATCTTAAGCTTTTGCTATTAAGCCATATTACCCATCCATAAAGTTGATGTAAATGGGGAATTATATAGAGATAATATATTGCTTATTTGACAGTGTTCCATTCGCATTTATTTAAAAATATGCATACTTTAAATACACTGAGGTAGATGAGATCTTTCTTCACATTTTCATGCTGCTGTTCTGGGAAAGTAAATTATGCTGTGATAAAAAATAAGTAATTGCTCCTTGTGTTTAATTGATTTTTTTTATAGAAATTACAATGCAGATTTGATTAAAGGAAGATAGTGCATTACCTACAGTTGGTTCACACGACACATAATGGTATGAAAGAGTGCTACCCAGCACAGAAATTATACCATCATTTTGCCTGAATGTGTTGAGTGGGAGATATTTAGAATTCTTTATGACTTATAAACACTGCAGAATGTTTCTTTTCCCATCTAAAGCAGTATGATAGGGACATCTATTTCACAGCCATAACATGTCCTCACTGTTAAATTGTAGAAGCCTTTTGAGGGAGAAATAACTAATGGTAGATTTTAAATAAGAAAGAGGATGTGAATTTGATGCCGACAAATGATGCACCTTGAAACAAGGTCACTCTTGAAATTTGCTAGTCAAGCCTGTTTCAGTCGGATGTAACAAAGAAACCTGAAAAATGCCTATGAAAAAGGGTTTGATGCTGATTCTCCTTCTACTCCAAGGTTTCACAGCCTCAGAACTATTGGCATTCTGGGCTAGTTAATTCTTTGCTGTGGTGGAATGTCCTGTGAATTTTAGGGTGTTTAACGGCTTCCCTGCTTCTACCTATTTTTAATAGATACCCAAAGCAACCACCACTCCACTTGTAACAAACAAAAATGTCTACAAACATTGTCAAATGTCCCCTGTGGTTCAGAATTGCCCCCCAGTGAAAACATTGCTGTCTCTCATTGAAATATAAGCTGCTAAATTTTGCTGATTAAAAAAAGTACAAATGCATGAGAATCATTGTGGATAATTCTGCTGCTCATGCTGAGGGTCCTCTGGGGGTTCCAGGCTCTTTTTGCATTCCTGTTTCTATTTTGTCCACAAGACCAAGGAATTTAGGTTTTCTTCCTATCATTCAATGGCTATTCTTACTCAGTATGTCCCTTTGGATTTTTATCTTCTGTTTACCCTGCCCAAGGCTAATGTGAGGAAGAAACATCTCTTCAGCTGCCTCTTTCTGTATATCTTTGAAAGAACACACTTTATTTTGTATTGGGAGGATTTTCTGTTAATTCCCATGATAATAAAATTAAGGGATAAACTAGGCATTATAAAGGCTTGCAGAATTGTTTTGAGTTTTTAGAGTAATGGTTCTTGATTAACCCTTTAGTGAAGGTTAAGCGGAACGTTACACCAAAAATCGCCCTGCTTCCCTTCACTAAACATGAAGATGGCAAAGCCAAAGAGTAAGTAGTTTTAACTCAGTGGATATTCATACATTTTTGATGACCACCCAACTGGAAGACTTGTTTATAAGCCCTCTGTTTTATCCTGGCATGATTTATCTGAACATTTTCATACCATTGACAATTAATGCAGTTTTACTTATACCATTAACTATGATGGGCTTTCATCTAACATTACTCTTAAGAAATTTACTTTTCTTGTATTTTACACAATGCTTTTATCATAGATTGGAGACCTCTAACAAACTTTGCTTTTTCTTCTGGATAAATCATATCATCTCAAAATGTATCTTCATCCTATTACTTACACTCGGTGGAAAGAAATGTCTCTCGTTAACTAATGCCAATATTTAATTTCCCTTCCTTCCTAAAGAGTGCTCAGTGAAACATCTGGTAGTTGGTAGACTATCAATTAATGTGAAATGGATACTGTAAAAAGAACTGACATTAGAACCAGTAATATCAGTGCTCAAATCTCAATTCTTCTGCTTACAGCTTATGTTACTTTGGATAAGTCACTTAACTTTTCTATGTTTTAATTTATTCTTATTTAAAACTAATATTGGATTTATTTTTTAGAGTTGTTCAGAAATTTAAATAAATTCTCTAAAGTATCTAACATGTTCATTAAATGGGATACCTTCTTTGTATCATCTTATTTCATCTAATTTGCTTTTAATTAACCGTTTACCCTTCTCTTGTGATAAAAAAAAAGTTCTGTTTTTGGTAAAATGGAAGGTTTTATACCCATTTTCTCATTGGTAATATTTCAGGAAATTTCTTATTTGAGGCTTAACTTTCTCCCATTAAATATTCAACTACAACCAATACCATCCCTTCCTATTTTTATATTACAGAGGATACAAATGCATCTATTATATTAGCAAATAACTGAAGAATGAGACCATAAGAGTATTATAGTATTAGATAATATGTTTAAAACTCATTTGGTCTTTCCTTCAAAATATATTAAATGGTCAGTCTGCACTGTACTAGACACCAGAGATAAAGTGGTGATCAAGATGGACATGATCTCTAAATCATGGATTGAAAATTTTATAGAGAAAATAGACAAATAAAAGTTAATAATATAGTCTGTATTTTCTTTCCATTATTCAATTAATGGTAAAATTCAAGATTTATGTTCAATGTCTTTACTTTGTAATTACTTTCTTTCCTTCTAAACTGTAGTTTTCTCGTACATAATTCTAGCTTTACATAAATATCCAGAGAGATTATGTCTTACCCAAAGTCGCAAAGCTAATTAGTTATAGAGACCCTGACTAATGTTCTTCCGATATACTACATTTCAAGTAGGTTTTGAATTTATTTATATGTTAGGAAATTATTTTGTTTCTTCTGTCCATATTGCTTTCTGCACTCCTGCTTAACTATTCATAATGCCCACGCACATCTCAGTTGTGATGTATGTTTCTAAAGCATACTTTAAGCCCATGTAGAATGGAAACAACAACAGAAATGTATGCTTTTAGAGGTTTACTTCAGGCTCTAAGTGGCAGATGACACCCAGAATCTTCTCTTTGAATTAATACAAGCAGATAAGGACCCATGGAGACTGCAATTTGGTGTGAAGGGTATAATTCTACCTTTTAACCTTTAAGCAAACAGTATTTATTAACAAAGGCCTTAATTTTAAAATAACGTTTAAATTACCACAGCCAGGGAGTATAATTGCGGCTATACAATTTGAATACGCTGCAGAGGAATTTTTTCACGGAAACCTCTGAATAGATAAGAATTCAACTCATTACTGGGCTGTTCTTCAGCAAAGTCTTCTGTGATCTCCAGTGTGCATTTGGCAAACTTAGGAGTACATACTAAAGACCAAACTGAAGGGAAAAGCCCCAAAGCAAGAGGAGATTCTGGGCGAGAAGATGAGCCCATATGCATCCTTTGAAAGCCAGATGAGCAGATGGTGATGTTGACATTCTGTTATGAGAGTTGAGAAACCTAACCATTATTCTCCCTGGGATGGAAGACCACATATCTCCTGTATGGAGAAGAACTAGAGATCTACTTATAGTCAAAGCTAAGGATTTTTTTTTTTTTTTTTTTGTAGCAAGCAGTTTGGAATCTCCTGTAGCATTTTGACTATTTCTATCTCAAGGGAACTTATCCAATTTCCAATTCCACTGTTAGTAAAGCATTTACATTCACTTGGAGCTATAAAGTCTAACTCTCCAAAGATTTCACTCTTAGTTACATGTGTTACTTTTGACAGTCTTTTTTTTTAAAAAAAAAAAACATTTTGATTGCATTTACTTATTGCTGAAAAAAAAAAACAACATAAATCCACTTTTAGTTGCTGTTTATTTCATCTGTTGAGATTTTCTTCTTTCCATAAAAATTACCAACAAAGGAAACCTTAAAAATCAGCTACTAGTACAGGTTGAGCATCCCTAATCTGAAAATCTGAAATCTGAAGTGCTCCAAAATCCAAAGATTTGAGCACCCACTTGATGCCAAAAGTGGAAAATCCCACACTTGACCTAATGTGATGAGTTGCGGTCAAAATACAAGCACACAATACACAGTTTATTCAGCATTCTTTAGGGGGAAGAAAACCCTCCCAGTCATCCTCATTTGTGATATATCTTTTCTGCTCATGCCCAGATTTCCCATGTGAACATTATGTATAGGCAAATATTCTGAAATCCAAAAAAACCAAAAATTTGAAACACTTCTTATCCCAAGAATTTCAGATAAGGAATACTCAACCTGCATTTTACACTATGGTTTTGCTTCCAAAGGACAAGCAGGTGTGTTTTCTCAGAGGATAATATAGTAATCTCTAGAAATAATATCTCTGCAACCTCTCTCTCCCAGGTTCAAGCAATTCTCCTGCCTCAGCCTCCTGAGTAGCTGGGGTTACAGGTACCTGCCACCACACCTGGCTGCTTTTATTTTTGGTTTTGATTTTATTTATGTTTATGTAGAGAGGAGTGAGTGGATGGCTGTTGGGTTGTTTTGGTGACCCAAAATCTAGAAATGCCTGAGGAAAGGAAAGACTCAAGTGATATAAGAGATGGTCATCTATCTCTAATGAGTTATTAAAGCAGTTTCTGATTTTAAAGATTACTTGGTCTCTTTGGGTCAAGATTGGATTCCCCAGAGAGGATGAACAGAGTGGATAAGTGGGAAGAGTTGCAAGAACTGAATGGGGCACATTTCATAATTCGGAAGCCATGGGACAGGTAGACCCTGTTTGTGTGTGTGTGTGTGTGTGTGTGTGTGGTGGGAGGGAATAAGGAGAGTTAAAAGCAGGTTTACAACTCCTTGGCCTTTTAGGCTGATACTGTGGGAAAATCCAAAGGGCCAGGCTTACAGAAATATGAGAGGCCAGCATGTCACCACCACCAGGAGCACTGACAGAGATAAACTGAGATGATAAGAGCCAATCCTGCTTTGATTTGCAAAGCTACTAATTCTTTAAGAGACATAATTTTGAAAACGTAGGACTTGAGGAATTCCTCTTTATCCAAACTAAGAGCAGGGAGAATTTAAGGTTTAAAAATGATCCTTCTTCATCTCACTCTGTGCATTAAACATCTTGCATGTTTGATTTCCATGACTTTTCTGTAATTGAGTATCTCAAGTGAATGCTAACTTTCATCTTTACTTTCTCTGCATATCCCCCACCTTTAAAAAAAAATAGTTATGCCCCTTGTCTAAATTGTCTCATTTTGGCTTTGATTCTTAAATTTCTGATGTCTATAGCTTATCTGAGTCGTCTTTCCGTATACCTTCAAAATCAATGCGTGTTTGTTCAGTTTGTAGCAAAGCTTCCGTTCATTAACATTGCTGCCCCACTGTCTCAGAAAGACACTGCTGTTATTTTCAGTTTTATTTCAACTTTGGGATTATTTATTTTAGAGTGTTCTTTCCTACTATAGCATGAAGCAATATTTTAATTTCATTGTCAAAAGATGAAAGACGTAGGAGTTAGTTACAGTTGTGATTGCCCTGTAGCTGAGATTGAATAGAGCTAGAATCTTTACATTGTGCTTGAAAGATGAAGCTTCAATGAGTTTATGTTAAGCCGTATCATTTCATGATTGCATTTAACAGAAGGAAGCCGTTTGAGCATTGCAGGCATGTTGTATTTGCCCTTTTCTTGTTGCCTATATGTGGAAGAACTGACAGCCATGAATCAGGTTTTGGGTCCAAGCAGTAGGTATATAAAGATGTAGCTGTCTATATGCATATAGTAGAAATATGAAAATGTATACACAATGTAAAATTACACTTAAAATCCTTGGCCATTCTGGAATATATGAAATTCCTTAATATGCCTTTGTTTTGGTTTGTTTGGACCTACGGGCCTTACATTAGCCATCCCTTTTCCTGGTCTCCCTTTTCTCCCCCAATCCATTTCCTGCTCCTTGCATTCTTACTGTCCTACTCCTCATGTTTTTCCATCTCCCTGTCATCCATCAAGGAGTTACACGAGGTAGCACCTTTATTGAGAAACCTTCCATGATCACTCAATGCCTCGGTTACCCTTATCATAGTGCTTATGTGATAATTACTGTGTTTAATTATCCATTTTACCCTTTGACATTGTAATCTCCTTATAGGTAGGGATATGCTTTATTCAGTTTTGTTTTCTAAGGTTTAGTTCTGGTGCATATTAGGCACACAGTTAAGCTTGCCATCACTGGTATCTTTAGGTTTTTATCTTATTCTCAGAAATAACCTTATCCCTGATTTAAGGAGGCCTTCTCGAAAGGGTTTCTGTCTCTCTCTTTCTCTCTCTCTCTCTCTGTCTCTCTCTCTCACACGCACATGCACACATTTGCCACTAGTAGGTACCTTAGAAACAATAGTCTTATGATATTACAGAAGTTATCACCCAAAACTGATGACCTTGTCCTTGTCCAGAAGCGTCAGACTCATGGAAACAAGTTTTGTGTGGAATTGTTACATGACATTGATGCAGTCTCAACAGAAAGCTCTTGGTAAAGTGCTTAAAACCAGTGGGGAGGCCGGGCGCGGTGGCTCATGCCTGTAATCCCAGCACTTTAGGAGGCCGAGGCGGCGGATCACGAGGTCAGGAGATTGAGACCATCTTGGCTAACATGGTGAAACCCCATCTCTACTAAAAATACAAAAAAAATTAACCAGGCATGGTGGCGGGTGCCTGTAGTCCCAGCTGCTCAGGAGGCAGAAGCAGGAGAATGGCGTGAACCCAGGAGGCGGAGCTCACAGTGAGCCAAGATCGCGCCACTACACTCCAGCCTGGGCGACAGAGCAAGTCTCAAAAAAAAAAAAGGTGGCGAGGGGAAGATAATAAAGCAGGCAAGATAGAAAACTGGAATTGTAAAGCCGTATTTACCTTCTCATATTTTGGAGCACAAAAATATTTTGGGATATTTATCTCTGCAGACTCACAATAGGTCAATATACAAAAATTTTCAAGATGCTTTCATTTATATTATGCCATTTAATCCTTATGACATGCTGAGAAGTGGTGAGATCTCCATTTTTAGATGGAAGAATTGGCAATCATGGACTGAAAAAGCCTCAGGGCAGGTCACCAGTGCCAAAAGCAGTCCTTACCTCTCGGCTGCACAATGTCCTTACTCAGGAAAAACAACTAACTCATGGTTCCTGGTCTTTTCAGGGTTGTTATAAAGCCCTGATTTTTTTTTTTTTTTAATACATGTTTCATATTTCTTTTCTTCAAGAAGTGGCCAAGGAGAAAATTATTTCACCTTAAATTACTTGGTAACTTAGGTTAAAGGATTTTCTGTTTTCTTGTTTTTGTTGTTGTTGTTGTTGTTGTTGTTTTGTTTTGTTTTTTGTCTTTTTTTAGATGGAGTTTCGGTCTTGTTGCCCAGGCTTCAATGGTGTGATCTCGGCTCACTGCAACCTCTACCTCCTGGGTTCAAGCGATTCTCCTGTCCCACCATCCCGAATAGCTGGGATTACAGGCGCCCGCCAACATGCTTGGCTAATTTATTGTATTTTTAGTAGAGATGGGGGTTTCACCACATAGTCAAGGCTGGTCTCGAACTCCTGACATCAGGTGATCCACTCACCTCGGCCTCCCAAAGTGTTGGGATTACAGGCATGAGCCACAGCGCCCTGCCTGTTTTCTTGTTTTGTTTTGTTTTGCCAGAGACCCATCAGAGAGATATTTAAAGATGCTGTAAGATATTTCAGGGTAGAGTTGGAATCTCCGGTCAGAGCAACTAGAGCACACAATGATCCTCTTCACGAAGCTCTCCAAAGATGGAGATGGCAATATTTCTTTTGACATCTCTTTCCAGTTTTATCATGAGAATTCCCTGTCATCTTATTTTTCACAGATGTTTTCCCAACAGTGTTAGTAATGCTAAAACAGCAATGCAAGCTACAGCTGTAAATGCATTCATCTTTGCATATTGCATTTGCTGCACTGATAGTAAAGGGCTGTTTTGTCACCTTTAATTAAAAGAACTCAAACAGAAACAAATGAAGAATTTTCCATTTTTTTATATGTTATTAGCTTGGTGTTCTATTTCACTGTGCTGCCTTTAAACAGATTGACTAAGCTAATTTGAGGGAAGGTTGGTTTACCATTTGTAATTCTTATGCGGGCATTAATCAGTATAATTAAAATATGATAGCATCTGGATGTTAAAAGCACAGGTGGAATGCATTAATGTAGAAGACAAAAGGGAGGAACTGCCACACGGTTTCTCTCTGTGTCACACACAGACACACACAGATGTGTCTCGGATCAAAATTGAAACTATCCTTAAGCAGGTAGAAGAATAATCTACTTACCAGTTCCTCTGCAAGGACTGTCTAAATCCTATAATCTTGTCTTCCACTTGATGGCGCTATAATGGCTTAGAGATAAAGAAAGGATCATTAGTCTTCATTTGTTCCATTTATGAAATTCCGTCCGAAAACCCAAGCCCTGTGTTGGCAGGTGCTGAGAAAAAAAGTGCACGCAGTGGTTTCCTTCATTCTTTTCTTCACAACTGGTAGGTACTGAGAGTGTGGATGAAGCCTTTTATAGACTGGCATTTAAACTAAGCCAATTTGCTATAAAGAGGAATAAAAACAGATTTTTTGGTGCCTTTTTAAAAAGAGCCCCTCTTCATTTAGAGACGGCATCATGCCACACTTCCTGTCGTACATAGATGGCCCTCATTATGTGCACAAGAGGTTTTCTGGTATTATAATGTGGATGGCTAAAATATTCATATTTTATATATGTATTACAGTTCATATTTTTTAAATAAAATCTTGGATAGTTAACATCTCATCCCAAGATTTCTGGAGTCTGCAGTCATTATTTGCATTCTGCTCATCCTGACATCTCTTCCTCCCACTCTTGATGTTTGGCAGTTTTAGAGTGCAAGTGAAAAGGCCTATTCCAGTTGATGCCAGAGGAGGGTGGGGGCGTGGCTGTTATACCACATTGGCAAGCAAGGCAAACAAGAAACAAACTTGGCTACCACACAGACTTCAGGAATGAAAATAGATTCAGGATATAATAGTAGTTGGACAACAGTTTGGCTGATCCAATCACAACTCTAGAATAGCCTCCTCAGAAACAGAAATCCATCATTACATGCTTTAGAACTCCCTTCTACAGGGAACCCACGTGACTTCTGCTTCATCCTGCAAAACTACCAAGCAGAAGCTCCTGCTCTACTCACCTGTCTGCTCCTGGCTTTCTGCTTCTTCAGACTTTCTCTCAGTGCTTTTGCTTCTCTTTATGTGTTTTTTAGGGTTTACTTCTATCAACAAAACCCTCTGTATTAGTCAGCCGGGTCTGCCATAACAAAGTATCACCAACTGAGTGGCTTAAAATACAGAAGTGTGGGGCTGGGCACGGTGGCTCATGCCTGTAATCCCAGCACTTTGGGAGGCCAAGGCGGGCGGACCATGAGGTCAGGGAATCAAGACCATTCTGGCTAACAGGGTGAAACCCCGTCTCTACTGAAAATACAAAAAATTACCCAGGCGTGGTGGCAGGTGCCTGTAGTCCCAGCTACTCGGGAGGCTGAGGCAGGAGAATGGCGTGAACTTGGGAGACGGAGCTTGCAGTGAGCTGAGATTGTGCCACTGCACTCCAGCGGGGGCGACAGAATGAGACTCCGTCTCAAAAAAAAAAAAAAAAAAAAAAAGTGTATTTTCTCAGAGTTCTAGAGGGTGGAATCCACGATCGAGGTACCAGCATGGTCAGTTTCTGGCTAGGCCGCTTTTCCTGGCTTACTGATGTCCACCTTCTCACTGTGTCCTCACATGGTCTTTTCTCTGTATGTCCTCAGAGAGAGAAAGCTCCAGTGTCTCTTCCTCTTCTTGGAAAGGCACATTCTGTGGGATTAGGGTGTCATAATTATAACCTCATTTAACTCTAATTACAACTTTAAAGTCCCAGTCTCCAAAAACAGTCACATTGGGAGTTAGGGCTTCAATAAGTGAGTTTTGGGGAGGATACAGTTTATTCCAATTCGTATCTATAACCCTCACATGGATATCCCTTTCAGACGCCCCTGGAGAGAGGATCTCATTGTGTATACAGTGCCCCCACTATGGATCTTCCTGTCCTCACTATTACCATCACCCTTGTCCAGGTCCTCATCATATCTTCTGGAAACTGTCTCTTTCATTAGCTCCCTAATTTGTTCCCTGCCTAGGATCTTAACCCCATTTCATCCTTGACCAGCTTGCCTCAATGGCAAACTGTTTTGCCACACTTAGCCATAAAGCCTTTTGATGATTCCTCATTACCTACAGGTTAAATTTTAAGCTTCCGATTATGTCCATATGGTCTTACATAATGTCTTCATCATAATATCTGTCGAGCCTTAACTCTACCACTCCCTTCCCAAACTTTAATTAATAATAATGAATTTTCATGTTTTTTCATACTCACCATGTTTTTTCATGCTTTTCTTTTCCTCTACCTGCAACATCCTCCACATTCTTCTTCTCCAGGGTCACTCCTATGCATTCATTGCTTCTACTGCCATCTCCTTCAAGACAACTTGTCCCTGGAAACCAAATCACCCTTCTCTCTGCTCCCACAGGACCCTGTGCACATTTATATCCGAGTACTCAGGATGGCATAGTAAAAGCATTTTTTCTCCATCTGACCCTTTGATAAAAGTGTAACAAGCAAAGTTCCTTAAGGACTCGATTCATTTATGATATATTTTATAACCCTAGTGCCTAGCACAATTCCTGATATTACTCAAAGTAATATATTTATTGAAGAAACTTCCAATCTGTCTCACACATACATACCCACCCATACACATTCACACATATACTCAGATATACTTTTAACTAACAAAACCACAATATTACCTGGATACCATTTTCCAGAATTTTGCAAGGTTTTAGACCTCAGCAGAAGATTGCTGGACCTGACTCTGTGAAGTGTTGAATATTTGTTACTTGTAGCTTTGAGAAAAGTGGAAGGTATTCTTTAAATATGAGGCTAGGCAAAGTATAAGCGCAGGGTCAGGAATAAGGAGAAGACACGGTTTACTATCAGCTTTCTTACCAAATAATAGTTACATTACTCCTATAATTCCTGTCAAAGCCAAGGTAAGGGATATGGATATGCCTTTGGGGGACCAGTGGTTCAGAATGAGTTATTCCCACACTTGGAAAAGTAGCACTATGTTTGCCTGTGAAGAACAATAAACTAGTATGTATATTACCAAGTGTTTTATGTAGCTAGAGTACTAGAGAGAAAAATGTTCTTAGTAGCAATTCACTGTGAATAGTGGATACAATGTGGAAAAGATAGAGAATGCCTTTCCAGTGGAAATTGTACTGTTCTTTTCCATAGATTTATGACTGTGCCTGTGATTTATCTGGGGAATGAGAGTGTCCAGGACAAAATAAAAAGAATACCCTGATCTATGATTTTGTTTTATTCTCTGAGGACATGGACATAGCCAGGATACAGCTGAATAGTTTAAAAAGTCACAGACCGAGAGCTTAAGAAAAGCCAAATATGTTCCAAAATTAGCAGAAGGATCCCCAGGTAACCAAGAATATCAGCTACACCCACAATTTAACAGAATCCCCATGCTGGCTGAGCACCAGAAGGTGAGGTTATTCTTTATTTGATGCTTGGGTTGGCCAAGAATTATTTCAGTAGATTGCGATGTAGGCTTTAGGAGAACAAGCACTTGGCTGGAATTCAAGTTCAGCTGATGCTATATTACTACAGTGAAAATAACACAAAAACTGATTTTTTAAACTAGAATTCAATCCTAAATGTATTGTTTACTACATGCATGATCTTGACCAAATTACATAACTTTTCCAAAATTCATCTGTCTCAAATATGAAATAGACGTAACAGATAACAGAATGGGGCGGTGGTGAAAGGGGAAAAAATGGTTCTTTACACATTATCAGAGCGCAAGTCTCAGAAACATAATGAAGCTTTAAAAAATGCTATGAGTTAGTTTGCACAGAGTTCTCTCATTTCCCCCACTTTGTTCAACAGCTTTGCCTTTGCAATAGAGCCACCATTTATTAGTCTTTCTCTCTCTTTGTTCACCACCTTTTCTTCAAGTATGCATTTTCCATCTACTTCAGAATCTCTGGAAAAGGATGAGTCACTACTGTTAGGTTTAGAACCAGCCATAACCCAGAAATAATGATTACATTCTGGAGAGGAATGCCATGCAGCCCTCTGCTGCCCCCCACAAATATTTGAATACTCTATCCCTGAGCTTCATAGGTTGTTTGTGTTAAGTGAATAGTATGTTACAGACCTTTAAATGTTATACAACTTTTTTCTTTTTTCTTATTTTTGGGTTCTTTGTTAGCACACTATACAAAAGTATAGAAATAAAGAAGTTATCGCAGGTGCTACAATCCAGCTTTAGGAATTCATCATCCTTTTCTTTTGCTGTTTGTTTGTTTGTTTGTTTGAGACAGAGTCTCGTTGTGTCACCCAGGCTGGAGTGCAGTGGCATGATCTCGGCTCACTGCAACCCCTTTTCCCAGGTTCAAGTGATTCTCCTGCCTCAGCCTCCCGAGTAGCTGGGACTACAAGCATGAGCCACCACACCTGGCTAATTTTTTGTATTTTTAGTAGAGATGGGATTTCACCAGGTTGGCCAGGATGGTCTCAAACTCCTGACCTCAAGTGATCCGCCTTCCTCGGCCTCCCAAAGTGTATCATCCTTTTTTTAAAAAAATATTTTCCCTTCTCCTAATTTTGGAAATAACCTATAATTTGAGTGAAACCTTAACCCATTTATTATTAGAGTTAGATTTTGGTAAATCTTTTGTTTAGCATCTACCCTGTCATTCAAGAAAAGAAAACATTTTGTAGTTAATTGTAAACATAGAGGAAAAGAGCAGAAGAAAATATATCAACTGAATGACTTATTTTTCGGTGATAGTAATACAATTAATAACAACTAACATTTGTTGAATGTTTCCTATGTATCATGCAGTGACAAAAGCACCTTTTACTAGTTCTGTGAGGATGGAGTTAATAGCCATCAGTATCCCCAGTTTACAGCAGAGGGAACTGAAGCATGCTGAATAACTCAACCAGCACACAGAGCCAGATCCGAATTGAGGCAGTTTCATCCTGAGCATACTCTATTAACTAATATGCTGAATAAAAAGGCATAAATATTTTTAGATGAATTTACTTTCCAATCATACCAGAATAACTTGATATTTAAAGATTCTGTAGAGAATTGCTTTATAAAGTGAAAAGTCACTATTTATATAACCTCTTTAGAAAGTCTGGTTTTTAGAAATCAGCTTGACCAGAAGCTACGTTTTTATTTGGCTGGTGTGTTACTGTTGTCGTGAGGTTTCACAGGTAAGGCTAAGTTTGGAACCAAGTTTGAGTGCTGAATGCCTTTGAATCACTCTCCTTCCTTCCTTCACAAAATCTTTTATTCTCTTCTACATGTTCAGGGCTAAGCGCTTGGAGATAATTTCCTATGTGTCATTTGCATTTCTGCATGTTTGCCTGGCAAGACATTGACGTCCTTTTTTTTTTTTCCCCAGACTTTCATTTCAAGGAATGTTTGTATCCTGAATGGCCTTGGAACACAGATATAGGGTTTCCCTCCATGCATATATTCTTCAGTATAATAAATATAATGTTTCTCTCTGAAGCAAAGGGCAGTCAGATTTACTGCCCATTATAAAATATTTGGGTTCTCTGAGCTCAGAGTTCTCTTATAACACAACCCAGTGTAAGTGCAGTTACCAAATGGCTGTCTTTGCATTTCCTTGAGGAAAATGAGGTTTATGGAACCAGCACAAAAAATTGCTGATACTCTGGCTGCTGCTTTTGCTACAAGTAATGAACTTCATCTCTGGCCTAGGATTCTGGAATTTTGTGCTAGCATTCATAAAACTGCAGCAGGTTAACTTGTTACCTTTTAAGTAGTATAAAATCTCAGACCCTTTATAGTCTATGGCACTAAGTGTGGATAAACACCTAAACCTAAGAATGTGTCCTAGTGTAGTATGCATAGGAGGTTACAATTAATTAAGAGAAAGATACCCAGAGGATGGTTACCGGAAAAGCAAAGATGAACAAAACACACAAAACAGACTTGTAACATTTTAATGGAGATTAGTCATTTCATATCATATAAAAAAGTGGTTAATAAACAAATTTTTAAATGTTCAACATAATTAATATTCAAAGAAAAATATTTTCAAATATTAGTAGTAAGAAAAATTAGAACTTAAATATTCAACATTAAAAAGAACATGAGTAGACCAAGGCTAACCCATTAGTGAAGAATGAAAATCAGTATAACTCTTTGGAAGACAGTTTAGAAGAGCCCAGTAACTGGAATCCTAGAATTAAATAAATATTCAGAGCTGAAATAATGATTAATTTAAAAGGATGACCATGCCATTATTGTTTATACAAGAAAATAAAGGTAAACTGGATAAGAAATAATATAGACTCATAAAATAAACTGATGGGCAACATATACAATAGTACATCAGGGAACCATTAAAATTATATTGTAAATTTTATGTTGTATTTTGTATATTTAATGTCATGAAAAGTTATTCAAACATACTAGTAAGTGAAAAAACCACATTACAAAGCAATCTGTATAGAAAGGAGAAAATTTTTGCCGTCTATCCATCTGACAAAGGGCTAATACCTAGAATCTACAAGGAACTTAAACAAATTTACAAGAAAAGTGGGTGTAGGATATAAACGGACACTTATCAAAAGAAGACATTTATATGGCCAACAAACATATGAAAAAAAGCTAATCATCGCTGGTCATTAGAGAAATACAAATCAAAACCACAATGAGATACCATCTCACGCCAGTTAGAATGGAGATCATTAAAAAGTCAGGAAACAACAGATGCTGGAGAGGATGTGGAGAAATAGGAACACTTTTACACTGTTGGTGGGAGTGTAAATTATTTTAAACATTGTGGAAGACAGTGTGGTGGTTCCTCAGGGATCTAGAATCAGAAATACCATTTGATCCAGCAATCCCATTACTGGGTATATACCCAAGGGTTTATAAATCATTCTACTGTAAAGACATATGCACACATGTTTATTTTATTTTATTTTATTTTATTTTGTTTTGTTTTATTTTATTTTATTTTATTTTTGCGACGGAGTCCGGCTCTGTCACCCAGGCTGGAGTGCAGTGGCGCGATCTCAGCTCACTGCAAGCTCCACCTCCCAGGTTCACGCCATTCTCCTGCCTCAGCCTCCCAAGTAGCTGGGACTACAGGCACCCGCCACCACGCCCAGCTAATTTTTTGTATTTTTAGTAGAGATGGGGTTTCACCATGTTAACCAGGATGGTCTCGGTCTCCTGACCTGGTGATCCACCCGCCTTGGCCTCCCAAAGTGCTAGGATTACAGGCGTGAGCCACCACGCCCTGCCACACATATTTTTATTGCTGCACTGTTCACAATGGCAAAGACTTGTAACCAACCCAAATGCCCATCAGTGGTAGACTGGATAAAGAAAATGTGGCACATATATACCATGGAATACTATGCAGCCATAAAAAAGATGAGTTCATGTATTTTGCAGGGACATGGATTAAACTGAAAAACCATCATTCTCAGCAAACTAACACATGAACAGAAAACCAGACACTTCATGTTCTCATAAGTGGGAGTTGCACAGTGAGAACACATGGACACAGGGAGGGGAACATCACACACTAGAACCTGTCAGGGTGAGGGGTGCTAGGGGAGGGATACCATTAGGAGAAATACCTAATATAGATGACAGGGTAATGGGTGCAGCAAACCACTGTGGCACAAGTATGCCTAGGTAACACACCTGCATGTTCTGCACATGTATCCCAGAACTTAAAGTATAATTAAAAGAAGAAGAAAAAAAATGTAGATGTATATAGGTACAGAGACATAGTCTTGGCAAGGCATAAATCAAAATAGCCCTGGGTGGTGGGATTATATGTAATCTTTGTTTTGCATATTTTAATTTATTTTTAATTTCTAAAACATGATTACATGTATAGTAAATGTTTTATTTGTAATCCATAGAGATTCTGTATTATTTGCCAGTTTTAAAGATGTTTTATAAATTTAGGTTATTCATGTCACCTTTGTAACAAACGAACATCAGCAGCTTGCACAAACATATGCACATTTGGGTAGACAGGGAAACTGTAGCAGGATATTCTTGAAACAACTTAGACTTCTCAATTTTGAACATATCCCTCTTTCTAGTTTCTGTCTTCATTGATATTTCTCCTACCAGGATCCCAGGAATCATTCAAAATTATCTCAAATGTCATCTCTGTCTCTTTCATTAAACCTTTTAAGGATCCTGCCACCTTCCTTTTGTTCATTCCAGTGGCCTTCTTACTACCTCTTGTCTCACCAAGGTTCTACCTGGAATTAGAATTAATTGTATGCTACCATTATGCCCCATATTGTTATTCTCGAACAGTGTGTTCCTTGAAGTTAGATAGCACTCTTTTTCGTAGTCTGGGGGAGCACCCAGCACAGTAACAGTCTATTTAAAAACAATTACTATGTTATATTTGAATGTCTGTCATATGAATTAAAGGAATAAAGTATTTCCTGGTTGATCTCTTTACTTTCTGCCTTAAAAACACTGAGTTGGGTGAATTTCATCTTCTTTTCATTTTGTCTTTTAATGAAAAAGGCAGACACACCTGTAATGACTCATTGTTTTTACATCCTTAGTCCCTGTGGAATCTGACAGGTTTGCAAGTGGCAGCTGCTTCTGATGCTGCTAAAAGTGTCTGAGGAGTTTAGTAACTGACTGTATCTCTGAAGCTGATCAAGTGTAAAGAAAAAAGGGGGGGAGGAGGTGTGTAAAAACTACCACCTCTTCTCAAGTTATGTTATGAATAACACAGTACACAGGTCTTGTTCAGAGACCTGCTGCATGATTATCAGGAGAAATGGAAATGATAGTATTATCTAATATTTGTATTAAATTGTCTACATTTTTAAGCATTTCTACATGCAGGCTTTTATCCAAAGAGGTCAGTGAAGCCAGTATTATTACCCTCTTTGAAGAAGTGGAGAAGCTAGACTCAGAATGGATTTGATTTGCCCAAGGCCTAATTCTCAGTCCAGTGTTCTTTTTTATTTCATCATGCTACTTTTCTGTCCCTTGTGGACTTATACTGGTTAGAACTTAGCCTTTTAGGATATTTAGATGATGTGCAGTATTTTCTTTTATATTTTACTCAATGGAATATCAAGTATTTGACCTTGAACCTTTAAAATACTCTCCTGGTATTACTTAATGCCAGCACAGACACATTGGATGTAAAATGGAATGCTTGGTTTTATGGTACTTGGTTGCCAAAATAGTTACAAAAACTTTGCAGAGCCTAAGTAGCCAGCGTTAGCCAACATAGGCTGGTCTCCAAAGCAATTCTGATTGTTAAATGTTATTAGGAGCTTGTAGTTTCAACCTGTAAGCGTTTCTAAAAATCAACTGTCTTGCAAAAGACTCCCTTGCTAGCCCTGGTACATTCATAGTAAACTAACCACAAAATGTTTGCTTTTAGGCATATGACCATAGAAAATTGTATACCATAAATATTTTACTTGATTTTCTTCAACCCACTTAAACCTCATATCCCATTTGCTAAAAGAAATTAAAGGTAATATTACAAAAAGGCAATTTACCCCTTGGAGGCTTTTTTTGGCCGTTAATTTAAGCAATATATAAAATCTAGTAAGACTAGCTCGGTTTCTACTCTCTGTACTTAAAAAAGCAAATATTCACCATCTGAGAATACACATTTTCATGATTTGAAATTGTTAGCTTTGTCTGCAAGCATGCAAATGACATTCTAACTTTGAAAGCTAATTCTAATAGGAGAAAATTGGCTGGCAAAGGGTTTTCTCAGGCAGATACAAGACAAAATAAATGGTCACTTAAATCTTTGATTTCAGCATGTACTTACGTGCTTTGAGAACTGGCATTAGATTGCATTGCATTTCCTTAAATGGGACTAGGATCGGTGGGCACTGGCCCTTGTAGCTTCAGAATATTGGATATTGACAGTGTGATGTGGCAGGAGCTCAATCTCAGAATAAAATTTCTTTCAGAGTTTTAACTAAGTGTAGCCTGGGGGATTTGTGGGTGTAGCTCCATAAAAATGAGACTTAACTCCTTTTTGAATTTTCATACTAATCTAAATGAAATGTTCTCTGATGGCATAAGTATGTATGTGTGTGTGTGTGTGTGTGTGTATGTGTATATATATATATATATCTCACTATATGTATGGTATGACATGCATACTTTTCATATATAATACATATAATATTATATATATACACATTAGATTTTGTTAAAGTGTTTCAATTGTTCAATTGTTGATATGCAAGGATGTTTTAGTCAAATGAAGAAGTCACCAGTATTGCCTCAAAAGGTTATTGCAACATTTAAAAATTATGAATGCTCTGAAATAAAAGATAAGAGAATAGCTTAAAATTCCTGCAGTATATGTGGCCCTTCCTTTGTACATTCTTGTTGTACCTGACAAATCAGGGACATGTTAATTTTCTATATAAATGATAACATGTCAATTAAGCTTACTTAAATCCAGCAGAAAATATGTTATTTGAAAGAAGTACGGACCACATAATTTTGTGAAGTAAATCATTCTGTAAAATGTTTCTGTTAAGTCTTGATATTTTACATCCAAATTTTATTTCAAAATGTGTTTGTAAGTTTTCCCTGGAATTGTTCAAACTTGTGCCTAATGATCCAACACAAGCTGAAATGTGAAGGGATATATGTTGTTCTCAGTACTGTCAAAATGACAGTCGATTTGTTCATAGAATGATTTTAAATGGCCCATTATGCTTTGGGTCCACAGTAATATATTGGGATATTTACTTCATCTTAGATTTTAAGCATCTAGAGGTCGGAGACTGTGACGCTTTCTTATCACAGAGCCAACAACCACACCACACCCAATTAAACAACACATAAATGCATGCTTAGAGATAATGCTTCTCATTCCAACAGAAAAGAATCACCCTGGATAAACTGAGAGACATTTACATAAAAAAGTTGACTTTTAAACAAGAGATTATAAGAGACCAAAATGTTAAGACAAAAGTACCAGCATATCAATGCTGTGGCAAAGGTCTTTCTGTGGATGAAAAACATTTTGATCTTCCTTTCAATTTATTCATTAAGTGAATATTTGGGAAGACTTCTGTTTGTAATTGATAGCAACCACCTGGACAGAACACTGAGCGTGTCCTCTAATAAATTATCTCTCGTGTCTTTAAAGGCCCAATAAGTAGTTACACTCTTTATAGTTTTGTTTGTTATCTGCAAAGTCATAAACAGGAACTTAGGGATTCTCAAAGCATGTGTTAGTGGAATAAAAACTCTAACATTTGCTTGCTAACAATAATAGTTATTTTCCAGATCATAATAGAACATAGCAGTGCGAGCACATTTGAATAGAATCTAAATTCATCAGTGAGTCCAGAAACACAAATCTAAGGAAAAGATGAGGCTTTCCCAGGGGAAGAAATTGTTAGAATGGCACAGAAGCAAGGAAAATACAGTGTTGCTGAGATTTTGACTGTCCTCTTAGGCCCCACAGGATACCGAGAGAACAATTCTGTCTGCTACTGTTAGAGAATCATATTCAACTGGGAATGCTGTATATTAACTGATAGACAGTATTATTTGAAGGCCTGGATGGAGATTGAAATGCAGGATAGGAGATATTCTTACCACACAGTAAATCAGACCATCTTGGAGCTATCATGAGACAAATTATAGTGTTGGTTTACATTCTTTCTAATTTGTGCTTAAAGCAAAGGATGGAGTAGAGCAGTAGGAATGCAAAGTTCTTGGGCTTAAGAATTAATATACTAGTGGTAAAGACAAGGCAAGAAAAATAATATATGTAATCAGTATGAATAAGTAGATGCATAAAGTTTTGTTTGTTATTGTTTAATTGGTTTATTTTAGATCATAGGGATATAGTTTAGAAATTCGATTGGTGATTGGGATGGGAATAGAAATGTATATGTGGTATAATAATTTTTATCATAACAAGCATTTCATAAATGGTAAGAAAAAATTTATGGATGAGAAGCAAGTGATACAACCAGATTGTCCAGACACATTTAAAAGGAACTAGAACTTGAGTCATTGAAACTCAAATTCAGTTTAATGGTCTGCTTTTTCAAGTAGTGATTCCTATAAAAGCTAATATTATGTCATGAAATACATATTAAATGCATAGTCTAGTCAATTGATTATTTATATACCAGTTCCCTTCATATTTAATATTTGTATAAAGTATACCATACATTTAGTAGAATTTGCATGAACATTATTTTATAAAACATACTTTCAAGGGTGATTCACAATCAGCTAATATACAGCCTCAGAAATAAATATATGCATTTTTACTGTGTCATATACACAGAACCACTGTTTAGTGTTACTTTTAGGGAATGTAGGTTAAAGAAACTGAAATATCGAGTATACTCAAATGTACTAAATGCCCTCAAATCAACTCATCTGTAATGTGTTTAATTTTATGATTAGACCATTTCATTTGAGTTGCTTCAGTGTAGACATTTGGGGCTTTTTAGTAAGTTTGGTTTAGTTTTTGTTGTTGTTGTTTTAAAAAGGAATGTCGCTTTAGATATGGTGATGAAATTTTAATACGTGAATGAGTATTTTTCTGTAAGACAACAGTATCATTAAAGGGAACAAATGTGATGTGATTTTCAAAAAACCTGTACAAAAACTGAAAATACTGAGCCTCCTGCCAGCATTCCTTTTGGTGTTTATTATATTTCAATTCGATATACTGATCAGCTAGTCATAGGGAAACATGAGCTGATGTAAACGTTTATTTAGCATCCGGGTCGTGTGGGGGTTGCTTTACTAGGTAGCCTAGATACTGACAGTGACCAGTGGCGCTGGGCCTGTTTCTTCTCATCAGTGTTCTGTTGCAGTCCTTGTGTTGCTTGTGGGTGAATGAAAAAGTGAAAGACGTTTGTGTTGAGCAAAGTGTGATTCCAGCTGTGTGACCCAGCTCAGGGCCATGGAGACTCAACCTTGTCCTTCGCTTCTGCCAGCACACCTCAGTTTAGAACAAATGGCCTGGAAACCTTCCCTTTCATTGCTTCTGCCATCCCCCAACCCTGTCCCAACTGGATTTTGAGGTCAAAAAACAGGCCAGTTTCTGTGGTGAGCTCATCCCCCTGAGCAAAGGTGAAGAGATTGGCGCTTATAGCTTCTGAGAACACAGGATTAGCTTGGGAGTTCACTGAACTTAGCTAGTGCACTGCACCAATGTTTCATATTCAGCTCTTATTGATTCCCTCCTATGAAACATTCTTTACAAAGAGGTAGAATTTGCCTATGGGTGGTGCAGGTCATTTATTTCAGGCCTTCTATCTGGCAGCTTTTATTTCTTTCTATTTTCCTCCCCCGCAAAGGGACACAGGAATCTAGGGTTGCTTGTGAAAACATTTAACTTCTTATATTCTTTCTGTGTCTCATTGGAAGATAATAATAAATGTCAAAAGCTATAAATTAACAAACAAAACAGAATGTCTGATCTGAAAAGAGACCCTCTGGACAAAGGTTGAAGGAGTTGAATAAATAGAATTAATGAGGAGACAGGAGTTTTGCACAGAGCAGGAGTGTGGATTGGGGAGTAGTGCTACCAATAATGGAGATGAGACAGATTGAAATATTGTAGAGTCCAAATGACTGCTGTATAGAAACAGGAAATATTATGGGTGAGTGGGAAAGGAAATTAGGTAGGTAAAGTAGTTGTATGACAGCTTGTTACTGGGATCTAATAGTTCCTTTCATTAATAACATTTTAGCAAGAACCAAGCACAGTGGGAAAGCAAAGTATTATCTTTATATTGTCAAGTAATTTTACTGCTCTTTATTGGCAATATGATGGACGAGGCTCCTCCTTTTGTTTCTCTTTGTAGGGCATTGAGTTTAGCCACCCCATACTATGTCTCAATGAATATCTACAGCCCATAAACATTAACTCAGTCAGTGCAAATACGTCCTACAGAAAGGGCAGTGTAAGCACCTCCCTTTCTCACTTGTTCCTGCCAATTTTTTACATGGAAAGTTACCTCTGTGTGGACATTGGCCCATATTTGAGGATGGCATTTGAGATATAAAAAATTCAACCAGTGACCAAGGATGGGTCAGAACAAATTAGGTGTTGTAATTTGAAAATCACATTCATAATGCTTGCTCCCATAGAATTTAAATATCTCAAAGACTCAAGAAAACACAAGCATTTATATAAGTGGCCTTCCTTTTTTCAAGTTTCATATATCACAGGAGCTCCTGAACTCCTTTGTACAATTTTTTTTTTGTAAAACCAAGCTCATTTTGATGTCATTACTGTACTTATCTTTTCCTGACTTTTAAGTTTACTTTTATGTTTGATTTTTTTTTAAGAAAGGCAATGCCATGACCATCTTTTATTATTTTAATCTTTATAGCACCTAGCAGTCATAGGCATATTATCTAACAAATATTTAATGAAAACTTTTTGTTTATTATCAGCAGCTCATCCTAGATAATGTGGAAAGAATTTCGAAAACCCTGCAATATATCCAACTTTGTATGCTGCAGGAGCCTATCCCAGATATCCTCCCATTTTAGGTGAGGTTGGGTTGCGCCCAGGCATTTTTATGTGTTAGGCAAGCACATCGGAGACCTCATAGAGTTCTGATTGATTGTTTCAGGTTTTATTAGGAGAAAATCTGTATCCCATAACCCCAGGACTTGTATTCAGCAGGCAGTACTCCAGTCACCTGGTATTTCTATTGCATGCCCATGTCTGTACTAGATATTTTGGGAGACGGTAAAGTTTTAATATTTTAGAATACATTCTCCCATTCTTTAGACCCTTACCTGCTATGGCACTTGACCTTTTATTATATACTAACTTATCTGTTTTGTTATCATTTGTGTACTCTCACCCCTGATAAGTTTTATTAGGGCAGGAATTCTGTCTACTGCTTTATCTCTAGTGGTTAGGACATAGCAGGTGTTCCAAAAACACTTACCAAATGAATGAATCAGTGTGTCCCTAGGTTCATCACAAATGCTATCTATTTCACCAGTAGCACTTCATGAATATTCCTGGAAACTCGTAGCATCCTTTTAAATACTTCCTTCACGGAAAATGCCTCAGACTTCCAAGATTCCAGCCAAAACTGGTATTCTTACCCGCAACCCATCTCCAAATGTATCTTTGTATCTATTCTAATGTACTATTCAAATTCTCACCTCTGTGTTTTTGCTTGTTTCTTACCTGTCCTGGAATGGTCCTCCTCTACTATTTATTCTTTCAAATAAATAGACCTGGTTCCAGTCCCTCCTTCATTAGGCAGCTTCTACTGACAGTTTAGCTCACACTGTCCTGACTTTTCTCTCAATTCCTATTTTATAAAAAGTATCATGTGTTATTTCTATCTAGGCAACCAAATTGTTAAGTTGCTTGAAGACAAAGATAATTGCAATGAATAATTTATTTTTTTTTATTGTAAGTTCTCAAGCAGTTGAATAGTGTTATGATTTTGCGTTTTGGGAGAATAATCCTGACGGTAATATATAGAGTGACTGGCATGGGGAATGGGTGGTAGAGGTCAAATGATGATCATAAGATTTCTTGTTCTGACATTAGTTGTTTCTCCATGTAATCTATGACCATCATCCTTCCAGGCACTCTCTTCAGTACAATCTGCAGTCCGTTTTTTATTTCCCTGTCTGTCTCAGTTAGCTCTAAAGTAGAATATCACTTCCTCTGATGATACTATGGCCTGGTTCAGTTCAGCAGAGATTTGGGAGTATCCACTGTGTGCTAGGCCTGAAATAAGTACTGAGGGTTCAAACGTAATTAAGATACATTCCTTGAAACCTAGGGCTTAGAGGCCTTACATTTTACCCTGGAATCATATTTGAGAGTACTGTGGATATGTATTGAATATCTGAAGTATGGAAAAATAGTCCCTTTAAAGTGAAAATGGCTTGCTTCCCATAGCATCTATGGCAAAATTTAAGCTAATTACTTTACTCTCTCTCTACCAGTCTCTATTAATCCCTGTGGCCCTGGAATGTTGAGCATTTATCTATGAAGAATGGACTCATGAATCATGCCTCAAAAAAGTGTTTGAAAAATAGTAATAAAAAATTTAAAAGAATATGCTGAATTTATTTCCTACAATAGATATAAAAAATTTAATTGTAAGCAATTATGGTTAGATTTCACTGAAATTTGCATTTTATGCTCCAGCAAATTATGATAAATGATCTAAAAATTAATCATAGACCTAATTAATGGCAAAGTCCATATTAAGATGGGTCCAAAGTCACATTTGAGCTCCCTGTGAGACGCACCTTAGTCCAATGTAACTGTAAGTAGATCATTAACAACAACAACGAAAACTTTTAATGGAGCCAGAATTCACTGATGCATTTGGTAACTCCTGTTGTTCTTGAAAGGGGAAAAAATCTATCTATCATCTATCATATATATATATATAAAATATAAAATTATGTACGTGTACAAATATACACACAAATATATATACCTACAGTCATTTAGCTATAAAAATTTCTTTCACTAAAGTGTAAAATAGACTCTGTTTTCTCAGAGTGATTACTAATTGTCTTAAACATTTATAGACATTCTTAGAATTTGTTAAACTTCTGCAATATTATTATAATGTTATTTCCCTGACAAATCTTGTTCACCTGTCAAGGGCAACAAAACCAAATGGCGTATGTTTCAAAGCAGCTGTTAATGGCAGCATTGGATTGAAAGTTCTTCTTAGATGTACAGGGAAGCACAAGTGAAGTTCTACTGCTGCAGAATACAAATGCCCCTTATTAGTGATTTTCCGGCTGCCTTGGCTTCTCACCCCCATGGCAGACAGTACAATTCCCAAACATTATTTGTTCAGCATTGAATTTGGATTTTTGATTTCTGAATTCTACGCCTGATGCTGAACGAATTTTTCTTTATTTTGTCTAGGCTGTCAGTTTTTGACACTAGATGGTCATGTTAATTTCCCATTTCTTCCCCAAAGCAGATGCTCAGATTTTTCAGAACCTCATGGCAATAATTTTTGAAGGCTTTATGAAAGTATAAATTTTCTTTATCATCATAATGAGGCTTGGCAAATGGTCCTAAAGGATCAGGTAGAATTTCCTTGTAGCCTAGTGAGTTCGTTGTAATCAGGCCGTTTCCAGGCAACGGGTCCCGTGGTTACTGGTTTCCTAATGTCTCTAAACCTAGAATCTCATTCTGCAGAGGGGTGAGAAACCTTGGGAAAACAAATACAGGAAAAAGTGATTTCTCGCTCCCATCTCTTTTAAACCTCCTCTAACCTGTGAATTGTTTTTGACTGAGTTTATCCTCTATTTACATTTATCAAAATGTATAATATTTCTATGAATAATATACTCAGAGAAATCAGACCTTGCCCTAGGGAAATGATGTTAGTGCATTAGAGAGACAGCAGGTTTCTTTGCTGGAGATTAGGGGAATGTCTGTGATTGAGTTGGATAACCCATCTGTGATGCTATAGACTTGTTTTGGCTTGCTCTTGCTTAACTGCAGGTTTTAAGAGCCCTCTAGGTGGAAAGAGGTGTTTTTGGTACTGTATGAACTATAGATATCTGAGTGGTAGGGAGGACAAAGGAGCGTGTCTTAAGCAGAACCCAGAAATAATAGCTTTATCCCCCAGCATTGTCAAAAACTCATACATTGATGTATAAGGAACAATTTACATGTTTTTCTGTAACTGTTGATAGGTAAAAATGAGGTGTTAACACTTGCTACTTTCTTTATTTCCCAGGAAGCTGGGTAGCTGAGACCATGCCCTGAAAATCCCAAGAAGTTTTCGTTTTCAAGTTCAGAGTGTGTGTGTGTATGTGTGTGTGTGTGTGTGTGTTGTTGTTGTTGTTGTTGTTCGTGGTGGTTGTCACTGCCTGCTGATACTCCATAACCCAAAAGCATGTATGGAAATTGATGGGGGGAGTGGATGTAGAGTGTGAGGTTGAGGGAGTTGTGAGCTATCAATATGTAAAATAATTTTACTAAGGGTATGAACTTCGTGGTGATTTTCGGTGACCCAGCTGCAACCAGCTATCCCTTCCACATAGCATCTTCTCTGAGATTACTGCTGACCACTGAATCATAGACTTAAAGCAAGAAATGACTTGAGAGACTTCCTAGTCAAATGTTTTCCTTTTGTAAGAAAAGAAATAGAAACCCTAATTAGCCTATAATCCCAGCGCTTTGGGAGGCCGACATGGGCAGATCACTTGAGCTCAGGAGTTCAGGACCAGCCTCTGCAACATAGTGAGACCTCATCTCTACTAAAATTAAAAAAAAAAAAATCATCAGGGTGCACACCTGTAGTCCTAGCTACTCAGGAGGTTGAGGTTTAAAGATGGCTAGAGCTCAGGTGATGGAGGCTCCAGTGAGTCGTGATCATGCCACTGCGCTCCAGCCTGCACAATAGAGCAAGTTGCTTTCTTTTCTAAAGTCATATTAGTTATTACCTGGTTTGACCAAGGTGTGTCTCTTTATCCCTAACTTTACTGCCCTTTTCATTAAAATATCCCACATACTTCTTCCACATGGTTAGCAAATACACTGCAGAGAATCCCAAAGAGTAGTCTCAACATTTCTTCCTTGGTATCAGCCATGGAGAAAGAACTGCAGTCAGACTCATGGGAAAAGGGGTTGGTTGCACATTTATAAAAACTCACTGTCCCTAGGCCTGAGTAGAAATCCTATTTATAATTAGAAATACACTTAGTGTTTTTGCAGTTTGTCTTTATATCAACAAATGCAGAATATGATAAATTATCGGCCAGAGTTGTACTATTTGATAAAGTTTAGCATTCACAGTGGTAAATCTGAATTTGTATTTGTTTTTAGCGTACAGCTATATGCTTAGACAAGTTTATAATGAAACAAACATTAATTACATGTTTAATGCCCTTAATTAGGATTACTTAAATATTAAAATGTAATTTAAAAAATAATTAATAATGTCCTTATTTTTATTAGCTATATAACCCAGGATTAAAATGCATTGGTAACATAAATTGCCTAGGTGAATTTGAACAAACTCAACATGTGGAAATATGAATGTATTCAGCAAATTAGGTACTTTAAAGAACTATTGTTTAGCAAATGTATTTACCATTGCATTATAATACTTACAGAGATTTCCAGGTCAACTTGACTATGACCTTCTCAAGGACAGGAACTGTTTTCTATTCATATTTGCATCCTCAGTCCCTTAGCACACTGTCGGAAATCTAGGATTCACTACATTAGTGTTCACTGTCTGATACAAGTTCCTTTCACCAAATAAAAATCTAGAAGGACGGATTGATTTGGTAAGCATTTACAAAAGATATATATAATATCACACAAAATACTGGGCATTTTTAGATTTTAAAATTAATGAATTCAATTGTAGTCAAATTTATACCTTATAGACAATAAGGGGGAGAAAATATACAACTTATTAATTGCAATATAAGGTGCTAAGTGCAATAATAAAGATATATTATTGTATAAATCAATTAAATTAGTACATTAAAAAACATCTACCACTGCACAACCTAAGGCATTTTCAACTATGGTATTTAAGGCATATACTCCAAGAATGTCCACAATTTTCCCCATGGGTATGGTAGTTGAGCTGTCTCTCAAATTTGACTAAGCAAGACCTAAGCAAATTTCCTGGGCAACTGCATTCAGCATACGGGGCTCCTTGTAATTAACTGACTTATTTGCCGAAATTCTCAAGTTAGTCAGGACCAGGAATCTTTTGTCTAGCCAGTGTATCCAAGGTATTTCGTTAATTCTAGTTTTATTTAAATGTTTAAAAATTATTTTCCCATATTTGAAATGGGTTGGTATGAACAAAGTTATTAGTTTATTCCTTTAAACAAATCTCCCAGCTATTGTTTTGTCCATGTAATACTTTCACTAATTACTAAATTGCTTTCTGTTTTTGTAATGCTGAACTTCACACTGCCCTTATATTCTGCACATCTGAACTAGAGAAACAATGTAGTCCTGGTAATTGACCCTCCCTGGTGGCCAGACTTTGTGGAGTTTATCTACTGGTGGGACCTTATCCAAAAAAGACTGTCCTTAAAATTTGCACGGCTGTGGTAGGATAGCAGTGCATCATACTAACTGGTATCATTTTGTGATTATTTCATGTGGGATTAATCCCAGCATACACCATTGTTAACACTGGAAGTATTGTGGAATTTTATTAAATCCTGCAGCCCTGTTTGTTGTCTAAGGAAAGGGATGCAACCCTGTTTTGCCCAACAGCCTCAAACCTCCCCACCTACCTACTCAGCCCTTGCCTCTCTCAAAGCTCCTGCCAATCACTGAGGAGCTTGTTAGAAGATTCTTTGAGTTTTCTGCTGAGATTCAGTATTTCAGAATTCAGTGAGAAATACACATTTTTGCAAGCAATTCAGGTGCTTTTGATACAGGTGTTTATCAGATCATGTTATCAGTTTTTCCACTCCCACCCCATCCCATCCATGTAAGTGACACCTCAGACCATAAATCATGGGGAGAATGCTTAGCCAAGCATGCCAAAATCCATTCCTGTTCCTCTGATGGATAGAAAACCTCCTTTTCCTCTTCCTCCCTGATTTCTATGCTACTTGGAAGAAATGTGAAAGCAATGTATTTTTTAAAAGGTCTTCTTTAACTCTTAAGAATCTTCTTTTAAAATGAGTGTGGCTGTGTTTCATGATTGTTTGAGAGCTTTGTTGTAGTACATGAGCTCTAATTGTCTAATTATGGACCTAAATGCAAAGGGCCAGGACTTTCAAAATTTGCTTTCTCTTCTAGGCATAAAAACCAATCAGTCACTGAGACTTTTCACTATAGTTTCTCATGTGTTCAATAGCAAGGAGTTAATTTAAGATATTGCTGCTGTATGTCAATTCTTCCACCTGTATCTTTCCATTCTTATCCCATAATAGATTCAGCTCTGTTGAGCTTCTGATAGCTTCAAAAAATGCTGACTCACTGTTTTTATTATTGTTTTTCACCTGCTTCCCTCCTTACCGTGCTTTGATATTCAGATTTTCATACTTAGAAGGAGCATGGCTGAATTACTGCGCAAGTGCTTTACCATTCTGGATATGCTTATTTTCAAATTGACTATGTTGCGGCATGTAGAAAGAAGCCTTGATTATATCTGCATTTGGTGTCCTATAGTGCACTCTCTTCAGTTTCCCTGTCCCTGGAGCATGCACATGGCTCACTAGCCTACGGTTCATACCAACGCACTGTTTAGCTGGAATTCCTCTCCTTCTCCACCACCACTTTACCTGGGCAGAAAGAGGGATGACAAGGAAACAGAGAAAAGTGAGAGAAGATAGAGAAACACGTAGGTGGTGATCTTTTTTCTTTTGTAGGGACAATTCGCATTTGTCTTCCTGATGTCTGAGAGGAGCTCCTGTTTCCCCTCTGCCTCTGCCTCTCCGTCTCTTAATGGTTAACCTGGTAGAGATGTGTTACATTCCAGAAGCTTAAGTAGTTTTTGTTTTGAAGTGAACAATTAGGGTTTGGCCACAGGAGCATCTGGTAAAGCGTACTAGAACAGGAGAAGGAAAGTAAGGTTTTCCCCCTTCACATTATGTATTGTGCTTCGAATATCCTGTGAGGTAGTTAAGTTAGTTTCATGGAAAGAGGATATCTTTTGATTGGACAGAGTAGTTTCCATAGGAGCTGGTCTGATATCTGGTTTTCCTTACAAATCTCAACCTGAGATTGAAGCAGAAAGTACTAAGCGTTCAGTTTCTTTTAACAACAATAACACTAGCAACTTATAGACCATTGAACTTTGAAGGAAGTGATTCTGCAAATTCCATAAACACATCTTTAACATCTTCAGCAGGAACTATTACAGATGTGCTCCTCTTGGGAGCCGAGAGATTTATTTTCATTATTTACACAGAAATGAAGAATACAGTAAATCATGCTCTTGAGCATTTTGGCAATTTAGTGGTCCTTTGTTGCGTGGGTAGATTTGATTTTCACATTCATGATCCTCACTCATTCACTCCCTCCTTAGGATTTTCTGAAGCACCTTTGGAGACAATGTGTCATAATCTCTCTGTCTGTGCACGTGTGCTCTATTGCCAGGGTTCAAGGCCACTTACTAACAATATGGCTGAGCAAATTGTTTAACTGCTCTGTTTCCTCATCTACAAAATGGGTATAACGATAAGCATATAACCACATGGGGAATTTAGATGTGTGATAATCAAGTAAAAATACCTGAAAAAGATAGCAGAATATCTGGTACATATTAAGTATTCAATATGTGTTACTCATTATCACCTTCCCTGTAGCCAGAGCTGAAATAGTCAGTTGCTAAGGGATGACTGGCCTCTAACAAGAATACTTATTTTTAAAATTCAGCCTTAGATGTCATGTATTATTGGTACATATGGTTTGCACCATACGCAAAGTATGGTATGAATGTCATTTGTTCAACTTGGAATTTTTTAGGAACACATTTGCTTTATGTCATGCCCCACTATAATCATATAAGGGCAGGGGCTTTGTTTGCTGATCAGTGTGTCCCCAGAGCCACAGTGTCTGGCATGTAGTAGGTATTTGAGAAGTATATATGATAGAGAGGGGGATATGTTGCTCTACAGGGGCTTTTGCCTATAAATGTCTTCCCGGCCAGTAGAATTAAAAAGATCCTGAGAACAGAGAGCTATGGACTGAGGAGACAAGGGAGGAGGGATGTTCCTCCTTTAGCAAAAAAAAAAAAAGGGCCAACGGATGTGTCACAGTCTTAACTTTCTCTTTAGTTCTAATGCATTCCCAGGATGTGTCACATGTCAGCTCAGTGGGAGTGTCATTGGAGGAGAAAGTAGGACACTCCTAAGTTCCAAGAGGGATAAGTCAGTTAAAATTTGTCATAATTCACTAAAAGGAGATGTCCCCTTTATTTTTTATGGCAAAATTATTCGGTGGAGGCAACAGCAGGGGAGGCAGATCACTAGCTGTTACAGGCTTTTTCATTACTCTGTATGGGAGATCTCATAACTGACTTTATCAGGTGAAATATCACCTTCAATGGCAGTTACAAGGCAAAAGTGGAATACTCTGCCACGTGCTAGAAAGAGGAATCTTTTGATGCTGACCATCTTCCTTTCACCTTCCACAAGTTGGCTGGAGAGCAGAAGTGGAAATTTGGTTCCTAGATATAAAAAGCTCTCAGCTAATTAATTCAATGTGTCAAGTATTTATTAAGTGCCTAGCATAATAATAATAATAATAATAATTTGAAGGAGGGGGAAGAAGAGAAACTATTAATTAAGCTCTTACTAGTATTAGGCATTAATTAAGCTGTATTTTGTATATGCATTATCTTACTTAGTCACCATATAAACCAGTAGAATAGTCATTGTTGTTTTACAGATGGAGGAATTGAGGCCAAGATAAATTAAATTACAGGCAAGCAATGGTAAAATAGCAGGTAGACCTGACCAGCTGTCTGATACAAATGTTGAAAATCCACAGTCCAAAGAGTGTTTGGGACTGTCAGGAAATGATATAATCAAATGGGACTAATTAATAGTAACACCATATAGCTGTCAATTACAGGAACTAGTCGATTCTTACAGAAACTTGGGAGAGTAGACAGGTGTGAGAGATTGAGATAGGACTGTGGTATCATTAATGTTCAAAGAAAATGAAGGGAGGCTCCTAAAAAGCCTTCAGAGATGAAGAGAGCCCTGGAGGAGGAGGTGATACGTGAAGAGGGTCTTAAAGAACAAAAGGTAAGTAGCCTATTTAGTTATAAAAGGGACAACAGGAATCAGCCAGGAGCAACAACTGTATAGATGCTCTAAAGCAAGAAGCTTGCACCACTTTGAGAACTTCAAGTAATCGTGCAGGGCTGGCTGACACTTAGAAAACTGGGCTAGGAAAGGATATATATCCAAAAGAAAATAAATTATTCTACCAAAAAGACATATGAACTGGCATGTTTATCACAGCAGTATTCACAATTGCAAAGACAGGGAAGCAACCTAGGTGCCCATCAAGAGTATCTTTGGTAAAGAAAATCTGGTGCATATATATCATGGATTACTACACAGCCATGAAAATGAATGAAATCATGTTTTTTGCAGCAACATTGATACAGCTGGATGCCATTATCCTAAGTGAATAAATGCAGCAACAGTGAACCAAATACCGTATGTTCCCACTCATAAGTGGAAGCTAAACATTGGGTACCTATGGACATAAAGATGACAACGGTAGACACAGGGCACTATTAGAGGGAGAGGGAGGGAATGGGGCAAGAGTTGAAAAAATTATCTACTGGGCACTATGCTTACTACCTGAGTGACAGGATCAATCATACCCTAAACCTCAGCATCACAAAGTATACCCAAGTAACAAACCTTTACATGTGACCCCTGAATTAAAAATTAAAAGTTGAAAAAAAAATTTAAAAAAGTACATGACCTCTTAGAGCTGGACATGGTGGCATGAGCCTGTAGTCTCAGCTACTCAAGAGACTGACATGGGAGGATCACTTGAGTCCAGAAGTTCAAGGCTGTGTAGCATGCTATGATCATGCCTGTTGTATTAGGGTTCTCTAAATGGACAGGACTAATAGGATAGATGTGTGTGTGTGTGTGTGTGTGTGTGTGTGTATACACATATATATATATATGAGTTTATTAAGGAGTATTGATTCACATGATCACAAGATGAACTCCCTCAATAGGCCTTCTGCAAGATGAGGAGCAAGGAAGCCAGTCCGAGTCCCAAAACCTCAAAAGCAGGGAAGCCAACAGTGCAACGTTCATTCTGTGGCTGAAGACCTGAGAGCCCTTGGCAAACCAATGATGTAGGTCCAAGAGTCCAAAAGCTGAAGAATTTGGAGTTTGATGTTTGAGGGCAGGAAGCATCCAGCATGGGAGAAAGATGGAGGCCAGAAGACTCAGCCAGTCTAATTCTTTCATGTTCCTCTTCCTGCTTTTATCCTGGCTGTGCTGGCAGCTGATTAGCTGGATGGTACCCTTCCAGATTGAGGGTGAGTCTGCCTTTCCCAGTCCACTGACTCAAATGTTAATCTCTTTTGGCAACATCCTCACAGACACACCCAGGAACAATACTTTACATCCTTCAATCCAGTCAAGTTGACACTCAATATTAACCATCACAAAAAATTGATTAGTCTGTTTTCATACTGCTATGAAGAAATACCCAAGTCTGGGTAATTTATAAAGAGAAAGAGGCTTAATGAACTCACAATTCCACATGGCTGGGAGGCCTCACAATCATGGCAGAAGACAAAGGAGGAGCAAAGGCGCATCTTACATGGCAGCAGGCAAGAGAGTGTGTGCAGGGGAACTGCCCTTTATAAAACCATCACATCTCATGAGACTTATTCCCTATCATGAGAACGGCCAGGAAAAACTCGCCCCCATGATTCAATTACCTCCCACCTGGTCCCTCCCACCACTCATGAGGATTATGGGAGGTATAATTCAAGATGATATTTGGGTGGGAACACAGCCAAATCATAACACCTGTGAATAGCCACTGCACTGGACAATATAGCAAGACCCAGTCTCTAAAAAAATGCATATAAAAAATAAAATAAACCCAAAAAGGGGCTAGAAAGCCCAAACGGGAATGGTAGCCTACTCAACCTTGTTGGGAAGTTTGACTTAGCCTTCAAGGCGATAGAGAGACACTGAAGGATTTAAGAAGGGCTTGACAGAATTAGGCCTGCATTTACACAGGTCATTCAGCAAGCAAGGTAGAGAATTAATTGGTTGGTTTGGGTCATGGTTAAAGAGAACAAGACTGTAGGTGAGAAAATCATTTGGGAGGTATTGAGTGAGCAATAAGAAGCTCCTGAGCTGAGGCACAAACAATGTGAATAGATTGTGGTGCTGGCTATAAGCAAGGTAGATAAGGCCACCCTGGAAGGACTCATCACATTACACATGCCCCGCCCATCTGCTTACCACATCTGCCTCGGAGTTTTCATGTTCCCATCAAGACACACCCACCCCACATACACACAATTGAAAATCACTCCTATAATGCATAACAGGTTTGTTTCTTTGTTTGTTTTTACTTTTTTTTTTCTGTGAAGGTGTTGGGATCAGAGATTCTGCCAGACTTTTAAAAATGATTGGTTATAGGAATGAGAGAAGGTGTGGTTAGAGTGGCTAGTACCTTAACAAGAAAGGAGTGGCAGTAGAAAAGGCGATATTGAGAGAGAAGAGGAGCCTCACAACAGCTGTACAAATTCCAGTGGAGAAGATGGTTCCCCTCATTGCAGGAGTCTTCATACAGGATCTGAGGCTCTGTCTGGGTCTGAGAAGAAATAAGATTTGTCTAGGGATTTTGCTGGTAAGGCTAAGGGAACCTAGAGAAGAGAGGAGCCTGAACAGAGGCCTATGACTGGGAACAAGTTGTGTGTGACTAACGCCTTTCCATGTGCCATAAAATACAAGGCCCCTTCTCTGAATTTACAGAGGCTAGGTTCTGTAGACTCTTATACTGATGAAAAGATGTGTTGAAACTTGCCTAATAACTCAGTGAAGGGACAGATCCGTTTTCCAAGCTCCCAGTGGAATATTGAGTACCAACTTGAGGCCTTTGAAGAATAATGAATCATAACAATTGACATGTTTGAGTAGTACAGGATCAGGCTGTGTGCAGCGAGATTTTAAAAAATGAACTATGTGCAGTCACCACTAAATAGAGTTTCTTGAAGTGTAAACTGAGTCTATGATCTGCTTGTGCCAGAGCTGTAATTCTCCGAGGGGCAGCTTCCTAAGATTTGATCAGTGGATAACACCTGTCCCTCCAAATAACTGGTGGTACTAGGTATAATATAGGAGTGATCTTCACCCCAGGGATCTTTGTTAGGTATTGATTAAGTCACACACACACACACACACACACACACACACACACACACACACAGCTTAGTTAGATTGATAGTGCTAAGCATTGGTCAGAAAAGTTTGCAGATTAATTGACAAAATTCTTGGCCACAGTGGTTCTCACCACTGCTATCCATAAAATGGAATAGCATAAGCATATTTACCCTCATGTCCTTAACCAAATCAAGAATAGACCGTAACAGTTTATTCTGAAACTTACTGATATTCCTGACATATCAGCCCTTTAATAACTTATGTCTTGCGCTCTCACAGCATGCATTATTTTCAATGCTTTTTCTTATAAATTGTCTCATTGGAGTCTTATAAAATTCTTGATTATTCTGTCTTTTAGATCTAAGAGTTGAGATGCATAGTGATTCATTGACTTGCGTCAGATCGTACACCAAGATGGTAGCAGAATTAGTGCCCGATTCCTTTTATGCTAGTTATCTTGACCTGTGCTAGTTGCCTAGAAGCCCAAGATAAAAAGATACATGGCTTTTTAAGAACATATTTCCGAGTTGTGGAAGTCTCTGAGTTCAGTTCTCCCATCAGTCCCATTTCTGAGTTTTCAATGGGATTTTGTACCCAGTGCACTGTGGGGTTTATGAGTTCTAATCTTAAAGGAACAAAAAAGAATTGATGTATTATTAGTTCTTACCTTGAAATATACATTGGCATTATGCAATTTATCTACAATTTGTCACTATTAAAGGTGATTTATTTATTACAAGAAATGTTTAAAATTCTTTTCCAGTTTAGTAATAACCTGTGCACACTGTTGCTCCCATATTTATGCATTTGCAAAGAGTCAATTATAGCTTTTTATTATTGGTTTGAAGATAATCCCCATGTTAATAAACAACTCTAATACAAACTCTTGTGCACAGGTTTCTGATACATTCCCTTGGGCCACAGTCATTTTATGGGATAAAAACTTGAATTACCAATTAGCCTAGTTGATTTGCTCCAAATTGCCTTGGAAAGAATCCTCGTGTTGGATAGACCACACTCATTACCTGGTCATCCTGGAAGCAGTAGCATTGTGATTAGGTTGGTGCGAATAGATGAGTGAGAGCTCTCCAAGGTGTTATTTTTACTTTTTGCTTTCTGACATGAAGTTGATCCACAGGATCTGTGTGGACCAAAGGAAAAGAGACCATGTTACTCTGGAAAAAGAAACAATGAGCCACCAGTCGAATTCATTTCTGGATGCAAGAAAACAAGCCAGAATGACTGCTATTTAAAAGTAGTTTATAAGCTGGGAATGGTGGTGGGCACTTTTAGTCCCAGCTACTTGGGAGGCTGAAGCAGAAGGATTGCTTGAGCCCAGGAGTTTAAGTCCAGCCTGCGTAACACAGCGAAACATCATTTTGTTTGTTTGTTTGTTTGTTTGTTTTTAAATAGCTTATAAGAAGGAAGATATAATCAGCCTTTGTTTCTTGTTCTTTAATGAATAAAATTTCATTGCATTAAGTGATAGATACACCTTTATCTTTTGTTAGCATCTGCATTTGGGCTTTCAAATCATTAATCTTGGTCATGAGAGAGTCAGTCATTAAGTAAAGGTCAACATTTCTAAGCATTATAATTACAGCTTTGCCATGAAGTGAACCATAAGGAAAAGTGAATCGACCATAGTAGAGTCTAGGAAAGGGGTATTTGCATTAGTGTGTTGGGTCTGGTCTCTGCGTTGGTTAAACTATTTCTATTTCTTGTTTTAATTTTAGAGAAACTTGAAATTTTCAGATGGATAAGGAAGGACTTCACTAATTTCTGACTGCAGACTCCAGACATATCTTCAATAAAGCAATGCAGGAGAGCTATCTAATCCATTCTAAATTACATATATTCCCTCAAGTAAGAGAATAAAAATAATGTCACTCAGCTTGCTCTCTGTTTCTCTTGTGAATGTGTCAGGAGGTCCTATGGACTAATATTGGAAGGAAGTTCTCAAGAGAGCCTCAAGACTGGTGGCCCTCAAGAGAGGAGGTAACATTTGATGGTCTCACAATATTGAGAATAACTTATGTCTTGCACTTTCACAGCATGCATCAATATTGAGAATTGTAAGGCCGACAAATGTTACCTCCTCTCTTGAGGGTCACCAGTCTTGTAACCCTCAACTTTTTCCTGGTCATGCCCAATCAAAGACTATCACGCTTGTACACCATTCTAGTGATAAGATAATTGATAAAGTTGTCTAAATTCAGTGTTACTATTACTGAGCCACATTTGATTAAGGTATTTTATTGAGAACTTTTTAAAAAGGGAGATACTGCATGTGTGATGATAGATATGACTTATTCTGTACTTACTTTTAATTTGTATTCATATATCATAGTTGTACATATTTTGGGGATCCATGGGATATTTTCATATGAGTATTAGAATGTGTAATTATTAAGTCAGGGTAATTGGGATATCTATCATCCATTCTGTACTTCTTTACAGTTGAGTTATTCACTCATGCCAGTGCTTCTCTGGTTACAGAATCATTACCAATTTGCTCTCTTCTTCCTCCTGCACTCTTTGTTTCCTACACTCTTACTTTTTTTCTCTTGCACATGCCTCACTCTCTGTGTGGCGGTCTGCGTATATGCTATACTCTTACTGACTGGTTCTATAACCATTTCTACTTAACTCTGGTACCTAAATCTGGACTGAAGATTCTATAATTTCCGTGGAATTCTGTAGTTGGATACTAAATATGCTTCTTTGCGCAACTGAGAGGCACTATTTGTCTCCACATACTCTCTTAATATAGAAATTCTGTCATTCAAGAGAGAAAAGATTGACTTCAAAATGTCACCAAGAAAACCATCACATTTAAAAACAAAGCACGTTTTCTCACATTAGTATACCATGCTTCTTTTCTGTAAAGCATTCTTTAGCCACAGCAACACAGCCGTTTTTCAAAGACAGCACAAGATTAGACTTTCAGTTTTAACACGTAAATACCCAACATGTATGGATTATAAGAGTATATTTATTGATTCTTTTAGGAACATGCAAATATGCTCTTATAAGAGAGTGAAAAAATGTATGCTTTCAACTTTGGTAAATCTTGATTTTATAACTTAATCTTTTATGTGCATATTGTAAACAAAAAAAATTTTGATGTGGATCTTAACATGAGAAATTTTTTCTATTCCACTAGCCCTTTGTAAATCAACCACCTATTCCGTATGTAAATATCTTAATATACTTACTCTTTTACTATTGTTGGATATTTAGGTTGTTTCTAAAGCTCTGTCCATCTAAATAATTCTGCAATGCACACGTTTATGCAAAAAAATGCAGTCGCTGCTTTTTGCAGAATAGATTCCCTGATGCAAATTGCTAGAACAAAGGGTAAGGAAATTTGCAAGTTCTTGATAAGCATCTCTTAATATAATATTGAAAGTGCTATATTTGCTTATCTAGTGAAGTGTTAGTGGTTTCTTTGTCATTCTGTTTGAGTTCTTTGGAAACAAATGCTGTTTAATGTACTGAATGAACATAATTTCTATGTTGGCATCTAGAATGCACTTTGCTATGCTCTGAGTTTTGCTATCACCACTATACTTGTGAGGTGGAAGTTTCTATGTTTATAATTGTATTTTAGGTGAAGCCATACCTAGAGAGTAGGGTGACAGTCTCATGACAGGTGATTTGAACAGCCTCCATTCTCTCATTGCTAAGGAGATAGACAATACCAGAGAAAGATCCCTGTGGGAAGGAAAGACCATGTAGCATAGGAAAGTGCAGAGAAAGGCCTGAGGATTGTATGTGGATAATCCACCTGCAATTCTGCTCAGAGTCTCTTTATGAAATTAGCAAGTCAAATTAAGTAGGCCTGTTCTTGGCCATCCTACTCCTGTTCCCTTTCCTTCTGTCCCTCTAGATATCTTTTTGTCACCTCTCTTCCATCAAAAGCGACCTTGATTTCCACATTATCCCGATTTCACTGCATAAAAATGCAGTAGATTAAAGTGAAGGAACCCTCACAACACTTTTCAGCTCACCTTCAGGATTGGTCTTCATTTTTGAAAAGCTTCAGGATCTGCAGAGAATGATTTGGCCTACAATTAAAGAACAACTGGATCTGGATTAGTGATGATTGTTATTTCTATTGTTGTTCTTATTGTTAGTTTAAATGTAAAGTGTGATCCAATTTGAGTATGTCTGATTGGGATTTCCTCATGGGATTAGAAAACATTCTTTCTCCTGAGAGGAATCAAGAATGGCTTGATTTTTTGGTTTTGTGGTTTAAAGCCTAACATTTTATAAATCTTTGGGCCTGGAATCCAAGGCTAAACTTAATTACAGCAGGTAATAAAAATCTATCCTGTCTTTTGTGGATCACAGGCTCTTATGGCCAGTGAGTTTTACTATCTGAAGAGAAGGAAAAACTGTTCCTTGGGAAGGAGCTTGGTGCTTTAAAATGAAGCTTTCTGGTTTTGTGTTTGGCATATGGTAAATGGGATACATAATGTTGGAACATGCATTGCTGACTTTTTTGCTCACAATAATTAGGTTCAAAAAGCAGAGCAGGCTGTTTTCATTCCATTTTACAAATAAGGAAATGAAGACTCTGAGAGGTTACTGACTTAATTGAGAATCACACAATTAGAAGCGGTGGGGTTGAGATTTCTAAGCTAGTGTTCTTTGAACTGTATTTATACTATAATGAATAGGCTATAATGAAGTTTACAGTCCCCTAAAGTATGTCCAGTGGAGCAGTTCTCAAGAAGGCTCTGGCGGGGAGCCAGGAGAATAGGCAGATCAATGAGAATATGAATATAGGTGAAGAAACCGAGAATTTTCCACTAATCTGAGTCTAAGTTGATTCTAGAAAGGCAATGGTTAATCTACATCAATGGGAGATACTAGTGAACATTAACTGGTGCAAGACCCAAAGTACTTCAGATAATCATTAAGTTGAACCAACTTGTGAAATGAAAGCTATGTTTTAAAAATGTCTTGTGTTCAATAAATATCTGACTTTTCAGTAGAAAATAAATTCTAGTTTCTATATAAAAACAACTTGACATTTTTCAGTAATACTTTTTAATGAGCATTGCTCTGAGCTATAATATAATGAAATTTGCTTAAAAGTAGAACAAGCTGGTAATGCTTGGCAGAACAGAGAGGCATATGGTAAAACAGTTGTGATTTACTGGCGAAGGTTTTCAGTTTTTGGAAAGCTGGAAGCTTTCGGCAGAGTGGACTGTAGCTTGATATTCAGTTCTGAAAAAGAACCACAGCAAACAATATGCTTAGATTAAGCTAGCCTGATATATATTTAAAGCATTTTCTCTTTGAATTCATGGTTATTAATACAGGCTGTGTTCATATTTCACAGTGAAATAGATAACTAAGGAAATTTTACTGATAATTTACATTCCGTAATATTTTGTATGGCATAATGAAAATTGTGGCATTTTAGAAGATAAGGAATCAATTGTTTGGAAAAAATGGAGTTGATTCTGCATCTCACTTTGCCTTAGTAAAACTGGAGCTCCCACAAATTTACAAGAGTCTTAAAGCCAGTTTGATATAAATTTATGTTCAATAAATAATAAGAGGATGTGTGTATATGTATCATGAACTAGGAGCATAGTGTAATATAAAATCATTTATAAGTGAGATCAATATCTAACCAGATAACTGATCTCTCACATAGGTTTGATTACTAAACTACTAAATGACTTTTCTTTTGTCTTTTAAAATGAAGAGGCTGCTTTCATTTTTATAATTTAAATAATTGTAAATGGATAGTGAATGAATCACCTATTCATTTTCCTTTTATGGTATATTAGTTTAATATTTTTGGCAGAGCCATATGTTTTCCTGCAATATTATTTTATTGTTCTATTAAACTAGTACATTAATGCCATTGGGAATTCCGCCCCCCCCCAAAAAAAAATCGTCATGATGAATTTATTGAAATGTAGAAAATTGTAAAATAATGAGCTGCTAAATGACTTCCTTTTGGTTTTACCAATTTATGTTTGTGGCTTGTCAGTCACACTTTACACACACAAATTTGCAGCAGTAAAAAATTCTCTCACTTAGGGATTACCTTGTCAGGCTACATAGAACATGATATAATCGTTTCATACTTTTTATTCCCCTATCTAATCACTCAGAATATTTCCTAAAAACATGCAGTTTTTCCTACTTAAACCTTTTCTGGTATTTATTTTCTTTATTTTCAGATAATCTTTTCTTGTATCAACTTCAGGGGAGAGATAAGAAGAGAAAAGATAACTAGAAATGGTCAAAATATTGCTGCTAATAATAATACTGTGTCATGTGAAGCTGGCCTGCAAGTGGGTGACAGAGTCCCTGAGGTTTTCCTGCCAGACTCCATACTGAAAATCAACCGTGCATGGGAGTGATTAGTTATTTGTAGACTGCCATGACGATGCCATTTTCTTTTCTCCTTCTGTGTTGGCCGTAATGGAGAGGCAGTACAGCATCTCATTTGTTTTTGCTAGGAGCCTTCCTAGTTCAACATGCTCAACACATCTACTTCCCATTTGAGATTTCCTGAAAACCTGTTCCTCTCCAGTGCATGTAGAAAATTATGAGAACTGTACCACTTCTGCTTTTTAATTTTAATTTTATCTTATTTTCATTCTACAATTATAACCATATTGAAAACCCTAATAGAACCTTTTTTTCTCCAAATATTAAAGGTAAAATAAAGAAAAGTTACATATATTTCACAAAGTTTAAATAATACTAAACCTGTAAACTCATTAAGCATACCAGTAAATTAACACCAAGATTAAATAATGCAGCTTTTAGAATATGTACATTTTTCCTCAGATGAAATGTAATAAACCATGTAAGTGTTAATAGGATTCAGTTGAGTAGTATTTATATAAAGAGCATGCCAAATAAAGATGGCTATTAAATTAGAATTAAATGCATCTAATTATCAACTATTACATTGCTTAATTTGGGGGCAGCTTTAAGGAACATAGAGTCATTCATTTCACATGTTTAAAATAAATTGCAGAGAACGGGAAATCACCAAATTATCACCAGTTCTTTTTAGTTTTCAAAACATCCTAAGAAATGCAGAAAGCCCTGGATTTTCAATGCCTCTGGATTCTGGAATAAAGTAAAATGGATGCCTTGGAAAAACCTGACATTTTTTTTTTTTTCACTTTTATCATGGTGTTGTGTTAAATAGGCTTTCAGTTGAATACACATAATGGGAAGAAATCTGCTTTAAAATTTAAATTAATGAAAGCTTTCTGAAGTTGCCTCCAAATAGAAATTTTAGGTTCTTTTCAGAGCATGGGTAAGGATGGGAATTCTGATTAGCCATACAACGTAGATTGCTTCACGATTCATCTCTCCAGATCAGCAGTTTGAAATCCTATAGTTAGCATTGGGTTCCCTCCAGTAAAATTTTATGAACATTAGCTTGGTACTTGGCAGAAATACAATGTCAGTTGTCCAGACATCATTTTTCTCAATGAGCACATGTTTATATGTTAAATAATCACAAAACCAAATCATTTACAGTTTTATTTCCATTGGCAGAAGTTAATACCCTGTGCAGTGTATTTCCATCTTCAGAAGCCTAAGTGTTGTGAACCTTAGAGAAGAGGAATAATTGTACAAATATAAATGATAGGCAGGCCAAAGAATTTTTTTTTGAGGACTAGATGCTCTTTTACCCACTGTTAATTTATTTGAATTTATATCCTTGCCCTATTTTGTAAAATCATTCAATTGGATTAAAAGTAAAAATGCTAAAAGGTTTGTTTGAGCCTGAGTCAACATTTGTAACAGCCTGCACGTGAAATAACACCTTAATACATTCTGTGTTCAAAGTGACTGTTTTAGAGTGGGCAGACTGGGTTCCATTTCAATTCAATAGCTACTCAATCCAATAACTCTTTCCTGATTCTTACTGTTCACTAGGCACTGTGCTAGGTGATACACAGTGGAGGAGGTTTCAACCCTCAAATAGTTTTCTGGAATAGGAGACCTGGGCCCTTCTCTTAATCTTCCTGGAGAAGTGACACCTGTGGAAAGTTTTGCTTAAGTGAGTCATATTCCAAGTTTATCTTTAGTCTGGAAAATGACTAATTTAATTAAATGATTAATTTCCCCTTCTTCCTGGCCATGGGTAAGTAGGCTGTTTGAAAGCTGAACAGAGATGCTTTTACTCTTTAATGCAGGAATCATCATGAAAGCTAGTTATGCAGGCCTTTTCACAGTCTTGCACGCCCCAGGAGCACAGACTATGTGCTGACCGAAGATGGGCTGGAAATATGGCATATGGGGTGGAATCCAGAGTTACATGCTGGCAATGTTTCTGCTCTGGGAATTGGGAATTCCTGCATGTTTTCTGGCAGGCTTATAACCATGCAAAGCAGTTATACCTTCCACAAAACAGCTTGATTGTGCTGCCATCACTTGGAAGTTTGTTTTCCCCAGTGTTTGTATAGGTCCTGATCTGGGAGAATATGGAAGTGGCCAGAGAGAATTATTTTTCTGTTTAATACAGTAGACATTGCTAACTCAGTCCTATCTTCAACAAAAAGCAGAAGTGTATCTGTTCACAATCACAGCTGTATATAGTAGTATGTAATAAACTAAATATTCATGTAATAAGCTCATACTTATTCAAAGCTATGAAAACAGTTCTATAAATGTGATGAAATAGAGCACAGAAAGTGTTAAATCCAAAGCCTATATGCCATCTCTAGATAAAGTTTAAGGCTTTCAGAGGCCCAATTTATGCATGTAACCCATGTCCTGGAGAGAATCTTCAGGTAGACTTTAGGTACTACCTGTGCCACTGACACTACCTCCTCTTCCTCCACCTCCTTTTAAATCAGAATATCTTCTTTTGTCTTATTTTTTCAAAATTTGTTCTTATTGCATAGCTACCTATTAAGGAAGAGGAAATAAAACAGAGAAGGGCTGGTCCCATAACCATCATGCATGAAGAAATATGCATTCTCCATTATGCATTCTTTATGTTTTCTTATAATAAGCATAGTTATTAAGAATGACGTTCTGCACATTCATTTCTTATTCTCATTGAAACTACAAAGGTGAAACATATTTTTAATTTCAAGGAAATCTACAACCACTTCGGCTAGTAATGCTTGTGTCAGTACTTCGGTGGTGGTTAAAATGATTTGTATAAGAACTTTGGTGGTGGTGCTAGACTAAGGAAACATTAAAGTGGAGTCAGGAACTCCAACGCTGCTGAGCCAAGCACAGAAGGAATTCTTTGGTTTTCTTTTTTTATTATTATTATACTTTCAGCTCTAGGGTACATGCGCACAACATGCAGGTTTGTTACATATGTATACATGTGTCATGTTGGTTTGCTGCATCCATTATCTCATCATTTGCATTAGGTTCTTTCTTTGGTTTTCTTTCTTTCCTCTTCTCTTCTTTTCTCTTCTCTTCCTTTTTTATTTCTCTGCTTTTTAACAACTAGTGAGCTACATGTAAGAAAATTGTAGTCAGGTTTTCTGTGACATTTTTTAATTTTTGACTACTGACAACTAATTCAAAAAAATACAAACACAAATAAATAAAAAGCTATAGAAGCCACCAAAACAGAAATGAAAAAAATGACTACAGGTCAGATGAGGGCTCTGAATGCTATGTGACAAATTATGTGAGATGTAGTTGTTTCAGCCTCAAAATAGTATAGGCTCCTGTCGTTATCATCCATTATTATTATTATTGTTTTAGTTTGTATAAAACTTACTGAAAGCTCGTAGAATAGAACTACAGGACCTGATAAGATCTCCCATCCCAATGTCTATGCATATCTTACTTCTGCATCTTGACAAGACTGAGAATCCATGCTAACTGTGGTTGTCAGCGATGTTAGGATACAATCTTTTATTTTAAAACCACGAATCTGAAGTTGTGCCTTTAAGCATACCCTGTAATAAGCTTTTAAATTTAATTAACCATTTAGTTTAGGGGTGGTGGAAGATGGGGTAGTTAAGATATCTCCATTTCCAGTTCCATTTCAGCCATCAATGTACTTGGGACCTTGGATAAGTTATTTACCCTTTCTGAATTTCACCTTACTCATTTGTAAAATGGAATATTGGATTCAAATGACCTTTGAGGTTATTTTCAGATCTTAAATATTATAATTCTGCCTACTAATTCTTCCAAATTGCAAGTTAATTTTATTTCTCCACTAACAGTTATTTATCTGAAAAAGGTGATTTTTGGATGCCTCCTAAATGTGTCATATTCTTCCTTTTGAATTTTTAAAAGATGAACATGTTCTCCATTATATTTGATGCAATAATGCTTTAATAGATATTTTCTTTATTCTGAGCCTCTATTTTCTCCTCCCAAATTGTTTCTGAGGCCCAGCAGCTGTAGAGGGTTATGCACTAATTCCTGGGAAATTGTCCAGAACAAGAATGGAATCAGGAAAGGGCGTGGGATGCCAACAGGGAGCAAGTTCTAATCCCTTTTCTCTGTGGGAAAAAAGAATGGGATTCACGGACTTTTAGATTCTAACATAGAGCAGGGCCTCAGAAACCAACTAGTCCAATTCTGAACAATGCAGAATAGATTATCATGCCACATCTTATTAGAATGTACCACTTCTGAGGCAGCTTGCTGCATCTTTAGACAATTATAGCAGTAGTTGTTTCAGATAAAATATGTGAATGTAACCATTTAAAAAATCTGATGTATATTAATGTAGATGTTTAAAATTACAAAAACAAAATAGGTTTTCTATAAAACAGACTTATACGTTTCAGTTTGAGAAAATGTGTAAAAGAAAATCTGAGGATGGATTGGGAGATTTTGAAAAACATGATATTCTTAGACCAGTGCTTTACAAAGCATCCATTCCTAGCATCACTGTGAGCATGCATGTTTATCTTGCATATCTGTGAGATAGAGCTATCATGAATCTTTTTTGGACTTTTAACATTAGACATACTTACTGTATTCAACTCCTCCAAAACCGAAACCAGACACTCACTGACAGTAGTTGTTATCTGAAGCAGTATATTGCTCAGAGAATTGAAAAGTTGTATATCTGATTTGTGGGTCTCTTGACTCAAGCAGTTAATTATTTTGATTGCCCTACAGGAATTTATAGTTGTCAGTGGCAGTTGGGACTCCAGTTTTAAGCATTTGCCTAATTAGGCACATTAGTGAGATAGCCGATTCCGGGTGAAAAGCTATCAATTACCACAGATTCTTGCAGCCCCCAAACTAAATGTGTCCCAACCAAGGAAGCCCACGGAGCCCTGTAAACTGTTGGAGGGATTTCGGGAGTATTTATAATTTACCATGGAGCCTTTGTTATATTGATTATAAATTTCTATGCTTATGGGGATTAATTAATAGTACTAAATATGAAAGGCTGTACGCTAATGACATTAACAGGCACCATAATTACAGAACATAATTGCCAATAATTCTTCAATGGTTATTTGGTAATCAGATTCTTTTGAGGTTAAATGAAAATCAAATCGACATTTTATTCATAGAGATATTAGCAATGCAGTGATGCATAATCACAGTTTCTATTTAACCTTATCAGTGCTGCGCAGTGTGCTAAAACAGGCCTATGGTATTTCCAGGGACGGTTGGGTGCAGTCTTTCTATAGGAGCAACATGATTTGCTGGGTAAAAGTACAGCCTTTGCAGTCAGAGAAACATTCAGCAGTCTTGGTTGGGTTATTACTAGAGGTGTGACCTCTGATATCGCACTAAACTCTGCCAAGCCTCTGTTTCTTCGTCTATACGTGGGGACAGTACCCAGCTGATGATGTTGTTTTGAATACTAAGGGAAGTGATGCTTGTGAGATTATCATTATCATGTCTGGTGCATGCTAGGTGCAGCTCAAAAATAGAGACTGCTGGTCATAGCAGAGGTAGAGGTGTTTAGCCACAGCTAGGACAGTGTTGATGATATGGAAAACAGACTTTTGGTGATCACATCCCATATACACCTTCTCCTGGTTGCGAGCCTTGGGCAAGTTGCTCAACCACAGTGTGCTTCAGTATCTTCATCTCTAAAATGTTGCCAGCAATTTTCCTGATAGGCTGTTCATAGAAGAAACGAAGTAATATGTGTAAAATAATTAGAAGATTAGCACATAGATGGATATTATTATTACTCATATTACTCATGTAGAAAATCCTGTTCTTGATTAATGAATTAGATAAAATTACCAAAGATAATAGAATCTTGACCTGCCTTGAGAAGAATTAAGTCTATTAAAGAAGATGAGATAGATCAAGTGTGGCCACACTGGCTTTGATGTCTGAATCGAAGTTGGAATTCCACCCTCTGGATTGGCTTGGGGTGAGAGGAAATAGAATTAAAAGAAAACCAGGGAAAGAGATGGAACCTTCAAGAGTCTAACATATGGTTGACTGTGTTGTGTGAAGAGCAAGAGAAAATTAAGCAAATGGGGAGAGGTTTGTTTCCACCAAACATCCACAGAGGAATCTATAAATTAGGAAACCTCATTCCACATGGGAATAATCTCTTCCTCCTTTCTGACCTCCCATTTGTCTGATCTCCTCATTCCTGTCTCACGGGTCAAGAACATACCAAGTAAACTCTAACCAACAGGAAAGAAGTTCTTCAGAAAGACAACCCAGAGGTCAGTGGTTTGAGTGGAAAACCACTTCTGATCTGTGGCCATCTTTCTGATTTTTGTGCAACCTAAATGACCCGTTGTATATGAGTGTGTATCTAAGCCCCACCCTCTAATGCCGGTCTCTATCTTCTTTACCACTCATGATAATCTACCCTAAAACACAGAGAGTACAAGAAAAGCACATGAACTGGGTTCATTTTTGCATTTAAATATACTTCTTAGAGTTCACCCTCTTTACTTGTCAACAGGAGTGTGAGCAGTCTTCAGACACATTGAAGAAGCTAACTAGAGTGTTCATAAGTTCCCTAGGTATGTGTTAAAAAAAAATTTGCTTCCAACCCAGAGCATTCATCTGTCTTCCACAACAGGATATTTATGAGCTCTTGAAACGGTCCTTCTCATTTCTAGACACTCTGCAGATACTGTAGAAGTGGAGGAGAATTTGGTCCCGCCCTTGAAATGCATCCTAATTTCAGAACTATGAGCCTTAAGAGCCTCTGACAAGGGGGATGACTCACAGCAGCCCTCTAGTGGCCAGTGGCCAATGAAAAGAAAGGGAAAAGCAGCCCCCAGTCTCTGAGTGGATTGTGTTTCAAATGTGCCTTTGTGAATTGTACTTGAAAATCAGACCACATTTTTGTTGTTGTTGTTGTTGTTGTTGTTGTTGTTGTTGTTTTGAGACAGGGTCTTGCTCTGTTGCCCAGGCTGCAGTGTAGTATCATAATCATGGCTCACTGCAGCCTCAAGCTCCTGGGCTTAAGCCATCCTTCTGCCTCAGCTTCCATGTAGCTGGGACCACAGGCAGACACCACTATGCCTGGCCAATTTTTAAAATTTTTTGTAGATATGAGGTTTCATTATGTTGCCCAGGCTGGTCTCAAACTCCTGACCTCAAGCAGTCCTCCTGCCTGAGTCTCCCAAAGTTTTAGGATTACAGGCATGAGCCCCTGTGCCCATCCCTCATCTTTTCATTGATACAGTAGTACGCTTGCTCACCAGCCCCTCACACCAGTGAGCTCTTGGAAGCCTCCTTAATCCTTAATGTTCTTGAGGTAGGTAATAATGTACAACAACTTTAGAACTTCCCCACCATGCATAACAATTTTTCTACGGCAAAACTGATTCAGAAATATAAATTTGGGTGCCAGGAGAAAAAGTTTTAGCTCAGAAATTGAAATGGAGCTTCCCTAGCTTCAAGTCACTGCTAGATGCTGCTATGATCTGAACACAGAAGAGGCTGGGCTAGTTGTCCCATTGGCAGTGAGAGGAAGGGTTCTGTCTTCTTGATTACTGTTTTAAAATTTCCACCTGATATGGTTTAGCTATGTCCCCACCCAAATTTCATCTTGAATTGTAGTTCCCATAATCCCCACGTGTGATGAAAGGGACCCAGTGGGATGTAATTGAATCATGGGGGTAGTTCCCCCATGCTATTCTCATGATGGTGAGTAAGTTCTCATGAGATCTGATGATTTTACAAGGGGCTTCCCCCTTTAATCGGTTCTCGTTCTTCTGTCTCCTGCTGCCATGTGAGGAAGGACATGTTTGCTTCCCCTTCGACCATGATTGTAAGTTTTCTGAGGCCTCCCCAGGCATGCTGATCTGTGAATCAATTAAACCTCTTTCCTTTATAAATTACCCAGTCTTGCTTATGTCTTTATCAGCAGCATGGGAATGAACTAATATACCACACTATGTCTCACCACCATCTATTAACCATATGGTGAATCCAGAAATGATAGGCTATACCAAGACAGAAAGGAAAATGCCATGTTCATGTTAGATTTGGTTTTCTCAATGGAAAGAGAAAAAGGGAGGGAAGGGGAGGGGAGGGGAAGGGAGAGGAAGGGAAGGGAGGGGAGGGGAGGCACTTATTAGCAGTAATACCTCTAGAGGAAAAAGTTAAAGTGGTTTTTTTTCAGTCCTGGGGGGGGGCAGATATAAATATAAAAATAAGCATGATTTACTGAGCACTTACTATGGACCAAGTATTGTGATAGCCCTGGCCTTATTTAATTCTAGCTATAGTCATTTCATGTAGATACTATTATCAACTTTATTGTATAGATGAGTAACAGAGATTTGGAGAGATTAAATGCTTGCCCAAGGTTGCCTAGCTAGGAAGTGATATAGCTAAGATTCACCCTACTTGCTGAATTCTGAAGCCTGCCTAATTAACCATGATGGTGCATGCCTTCCAGCCGCATGCTCAGTTGGAGACTATGTGCTTATAGTTGCTTTTCACTGAGAGGGCAGCATGTGAAGCACAAAGGAGGAATACAGAAACACCAAGAGATTGTCAGAAAATTATGATTCAGTTATCATTTTTTCTCTTTGTGGTCATTTGTTGCCATAACCTTGAAAGCAAATGTTTAATTTTATCTCATACTACTCCATGCTACTTTTAACATTCTGTGCTAAACATGTGTTTATTTCCCTAGAAAAGAACAGCATTTTTTACAGTTTCATGTAACCATAATCTTATTATTATGAATATACATATTCACAATCTAAAGCTCAGTGCATGTCAACTAATTAAACAGGTAATATCTCTCTACTTGGATTTTGCTTCAGTGAAGTCACTTAAGTAGCCTGGACCTCAATTTGATCATCTATAAAATGGGGAAAACAAGTTTCCGAAGGTCAATAGAATAAATGAAGGACCATTTATATGTATATGGGTCCATATACCCGCATATGAAAAACTATGTATATATACAAGCCCTTTAAAAATATGAATGGAATAATTCAGATTTAATAGATTCTCGATAAGTAGTAACTGATTATTAATTATATCTTGTTATAATTAATGTTTTTATTCTTATCATTAGAGAGAAAATATTTTCTTACATATATTGACCAAGTACTTATATCTGGGGAGATGAGCACTTGTGAGGTCTTGATGGCCTCTTTGCTGTTCATTCTTTTTTGTTCCACATTGGGGATTTCCTTTGCTTACAAATATTACCTTAGCTTCATTATTAAAATATTATTGTTTTTACCAAATTATTATAAATTAACTGTGATGGTGTTTATATTATTATTCCTTCTTGTAACATTATAAAGATATGTGACTATAAAGACACAGCTTATATTTTACAAGTAATAACATTTAAAATTGTGTAGCTCAGGTCTTGTATATAAATGTTCTCAACACATGTGAAATCAGAAATAACACTTGAAAGAAAAGGCTCAGTGTGGGTGATAATTCCACCCTGCATAGTTATGGTGTTTATAAGGATTACAGTTTGTGTTTGGACCTGGTTTGAGGGCAATCTTGGGCTAGAATTAGTTTCAAAGCTAGTGAGTAAATGGTGATTCTATGAAGGAGGAAACTTTCTGTTTCCATTAATTTTCATTTTGTCACAAAGCAGTAATTATTCAGAAATGTGTGATCAAATTCTTTCTTTATTGAATAAATTCAGTATAAAGTAGTCATGTCTTACTTCTTTTCAAGGTAGAATACTATTTAACACTGAAAAGGAAATCTAGGGTTGTTTTATAAGTAAGGAAAAGGAGAAGATGGGACTGTAGTGAGGGTTTAAAAGATCACGTGATGGTTAAATCTGTTAGATAAGTTTCAAAGTTTTAAACATGTCTTTGACATTTGTCAAATTAACTGACATTCCATTTTCTTTTCATCTGCAAATTACCTTTCTCATTGGATTTCTGGAAAACAAAATTGATGTGGGAAGTGCTTAACATTAAGTCTTATTATTTAATGTTCATTAAATGTTCCCTTTCTTCAGATATTCTCCCAACTTCCCTTCTCCATTTCCCAGCTAACATAAACTCTTGAGGCACAAAATTGTCTCATTTGAAATATTTTCTGACAAAAAAATGCTGAGCAGTTTCCTGTATTTAGTTTGCCACCCTCAATTAACATCTTCTTATTAATTTTGTTAGTAGAGCATACCCACTTTAAAATTTCAGTGAATTTTAAGTGCATAGCTCATAATTCCTAGAAGGAAACCGAGGCATTTAGATTTTAGTTGTACAAACTGATAGCAACAAAGACACGAGGTAGGGACCCACCTAACCTCAAGTTCAAAAAGCATATCGCTTCACTAATGCAAAAGTAAAATCAAATTTTTGTCATAGAAGAGAAAACAAATCCTTTAAAAATATTTAAATGTTCTAATTTTGTTGTCATCTCTCTATAGTGAAAATGTCAGTGTTATTTTGGAAACCACTGTCTTTTCTTATACTTTTATTTCTGCTACAATTTTCACATGTGCTACAGCAAGTTCTAGTGACCTTGAACATTGTCTCTTCACTTGTTCAGTCTATGCCACCAGCTAATTGGAGGATGATTTTGGGTCTATCTACTGAACTTCAGAAATCAATTTTCCTCACCTTTAATGTGAAAATGTGGAAGTAAGTAATGTTGTGGAGAATATTTCCTGAAGTTATTGTCTATATGACTGAGTGTTAGAATCTGCCGATGTTATTATTTATTAATAGTAGCAGTTACCATTTATTGAGGACTCAATCCTCTCAAGGGACCTATTAGGTGAGTAGTATTATGATGCTTATTTCATGAATTAGAACGTTGAGATATGGAAATTAAATAATTTGCCTATAATCATATAGACTTGGGTTTCTTTTTTCTTTTTTTTTTTTTTTTGAGACGGAGTCTCCGTCTGTCACCCAGGCTGAAGTGTAGTGGCGTGATCTTGGCTCACTGCAACCTCCGCCTCCCGGGCTCAAACGATTCTCCTGCCTCAGCCTCCCAAGTAGCTGGAATTACAGGCACCCGCCACCATGCCCCGCTAATTTTTGTTATTTTTAGTAGAGACAGGGTGATGGTCTTGAGCCCCTGACTTTGTGATCCACCTGCCTCGGCCTCCCAAAGTGCCAAACTTGGGTTTCTGTAAAGCAAACCAAATCATTTGGATAGCAGAAGTGATGTACTCTATGTATAAGTGGCAATTTAAGGGCAGAAAAGAAAAAAGAGTATATATATATATATGTAAATATTGCATTTATATATATGTAAATATTGCAATTCTCAAAGTTAAATTTCTTTCTCTTTGAAACATTTAGTCAAAGGTTTAAGCTTTACTTCATTTTACTATATCTTGAGCATAAATTGTTAAAATGGGACAAAATAAGTGATAAAATTACCTGTGGTTTAAAGTGATTGATTGAATATTCATAAACCACCTATATTTCTTTTATTTTCTTTTCCTTTTTAATTATTTTTTGTGGTTGTGAGTTATTGATATTTGTTGGCAAGTAAACACCAACTTATTAAAGCGAATATTGTTTGAATGAGTTTTGATGGTAATAAGAAAATATCTCACATCATGTAGACTCCCAGTTCTCAGAGATGTCTGTAAGGCATCACTGGGAGCAGGAAAGAACAGAAGAAACTAACCCTGTGATTTTTGTTTCTGGGGGTCAATCGATTTGAGATGATTAGGGTTAGGGTTCCATACTAAGTCATCCTAGTGATGGTAACATTCTCTGGAATTGTCATTTTATTCATTAAGGTGCTGTGTGGAAAGCCAGCATGAAGAAAATGGAGTGGAAAGGAAAAGAAGTATCATGAAACCTCATAAACTGAGGCACAAATTTGCAAAACCTCCTGATGAACATGAGAAATCTCCTGAGCTCACATATTTCTCTCAGTATTTTAGGAACCCACAAATTTTTCATTAAAATAAATGTGTAATAATAATAAAACTTAAAATTGTATTCATTATAATAGAAAAGATAAAATGTCAAATAAATTATATACATTCTGCAGGGCACAGTGATCCTCAACTTCTGATATAAATGATTATTCTTTTCTTGTATTAGGAGCATTTGGGCAGAGGAGAGAATAGAGAATACAGATGTGTAGAACAAAAATATATCCATGGCAAAGTGTCATAGATAGTCTAGATGAATTTATAGTTAGACATTGGGTCCTTTTTCAAAGTTACACTATGCATAACTTCATCCATAGAGAAATAGATATTTATTAATAGATCCAACCAATAAAAGGATCATTTATTATTTGGCAGGAGGAATCATTTAAGTCCAGACTCTGTTTTATTCTGTCATAAATGGTAACCCTATTTTGGAGAGACAGCCAAATAAGATAATGAGGACAATTTTGATCTTTTTTTAATTAATATTGATTTTATGTGTCAGCTTTATGCAGGCAGGGAGACACAATTATGCTCTGCGTGCAGTAAGTCATAGCCGTCACAGATTTTGACAGACAGAAGGAGTAATTTTAGTGGTAGGAGTTAATTTGCACTGGCATTAATGCATGAAAATGTTGGTGATCATATCTAATTGTTTCCTTTGTTAGTAATTCAACTAAAAATAACGTTCATTAACCAAGCTGTGGGTAGTTATTGATTATGACAGATACTCCAAAAGTGAATTGCTTCAAGTCACTGTTCTTAGTAATCAATTTCTGATTCCAAAATAAAATTTTATTCCATCTTTTTGCCTCATCCTTCCTCCTTGTCCTTTTAACTCTCCTACACTAAATATAGGAACATGCATAAAAAGTGGGGGAGATTATAACCAACTTTAATTCTGCCAGTAAAGAAATACTGGAAAAAAACTCATTTAAAAAATCAGCATTAACATTTTATTGACCATTTTATATACGTACACAGGCACACATATTCACACAGTCAAACACACATACAGAAATGTGATCTTTCTCTTTAAGGAGAAAATACACCAGTTTATTAGGTCACACAACAAAAAATCCAAAGCTCAGGTAGTTTGACAACTCCAGGTTCTTTAGAACCTGGACATCTTCACTCTGCCATCTTCAGCATATTGGCTTTTGCCCTTAGTTATGTCGCACTGTGATCACAAAATGGGTGCAGTAGTTTCATTCATTGCATCCTCATATAACTGCATCCTTAGATAAACTAGGATGCTGGGTGGGTGTATGTTTCAAATGAGAACCTTTCCCATAAGTTCCCCAGCAGTTTTCCTCCAGTGTCATTGGCCCTTTTCTGAGCCAGTCACAGGCATTAGAAGGGTTCTACCAGGAATGTCTTGGCTAATCAAGACTCATGTCCCTGGTCTGAGCAATGGATAAGTTTCCACCAAAGCCCACTGTCACTAAATGCCTAACAAAATTGGAAAGAAGAATAGATGGAACAATAGCACAATTTTTAAAGCTACTTAGAATTTAAAAACAAAACAAAATAAAATGAGAAACTTGCCTGAGAAATATACAAAGCATCCCTTGTACGAGTAGAAGTGATATAAAGGCTAAGGAGCTTAGAGAAATCAGCATCAACTGATGACAGTGCTTATGCTGCCAGTTGATTTTTTTAAATCACAGATAATTTTTTCAGCATTTGAATAACCATAAAGGTAACCAAATTCTATTATGTTTCAATGACAATAAAAGACATATGCCTGAATAACTCCACATATTTCCTTTTGATGTACTAAGTTTTTAAGCCCCAAAAGACTTTAGCCTATCTTCATATTATCCCCATTGGACAAGATACTTACATAATCTGTGATACTTCCTATAAAATAATGAAGACAATGTTAAAATTCCCCTCCTGCTATGTGCATTTAGGAAAATGATAATATAAAAATAAAACATTGATTTAAACTGTGCCATTATGGAATAGAGTTAAGACCAATGCAATAGAGTAAGTAGCCGATAAAAGCTTGTTTTATTTAGTAAGGTCTGATAATGCAGGATATCCTGTTGATTATTGGAATTACCTAGCATTTTAATTCATGTTATACACACATACAAACAAGTTCATTCAGTTTAAAACGTATAAAATTGCAGGTTTGCTTAGGTAAAAAATTGATGCATAATAGACATTTTTTGTGGTTCATCCAAATATTTTTAAATGGATAGGTGCAGAAGTATTTAAAAGAAATAGAATTACATTTCACTTTGTGACTAGTATTTTCTGTTTTCAGTCACATTGCATAATGGAGGTATGTTGAAATCAATATTAATACATACTTTTTAATCAAAAAGTAAGTCTCATTAATAAAATATCCTCAATGAACCCAGTGCCCTTGGTCGATTTCTACTGTACTGTCAGAAAATCCATAATCATAAGGATTTGTAAGAATTTTTGACATCTACAGATTTGTGACATACAATGATATAAAAATTATCAACATTGTCTCTGAATTAGGACTCAAAAATGTGGAGTCTAGTTTTATATTTCTTTGTAGGTAAAATTCCTGCTGAGAGTTTAGAATCTTGAATTCCAGGCTAGGCCTAATAGAGCACTGAGCCAAACCAAGTGTTCCAAAGACAGAAAACTAAGGCTTAGAGACACTTAGTGATGTATCCAGGATGGATCTGGTGACAATTCTAATTGCCCCTCCAGAACTCTTCTTGCTATGCATCCAGTTGCCTAATTATGGCATCAGGATGCTACCCTTTAACCTCTGGAGCCCAAGGTTCTTGCCTTTTAACATCGTGATTGTGAGGCTTTTGTCTTCCCAGGTACAGGATACATTTGATTGTTTGTTCTTAGTATATCCGAGAGCCTCAAGGCCTTTCTTTAGCAAGTTATTTTTAATATGTGGTTATTGAAACATTTCCTCCTCCCACTCCCCAAATTTAAAGGTTTTATCGGATTGCCAATTTAAAAAAGTGGGAGATTTCAGAAAAGCTGCCATTATCTGCCAATTTCCACAAAAGAACTCATGCATTCTCTTGCATTCTCTGCTTACTGTAATGGCTGAGAGGCTGAAGTATTCTTCTATTATTGCTCAGAAATCACAGCTTCCATACTGTTACTGAAAAACAAAAGTAGAGCTTTTTGTGTGACATTATTTCAGTTCTGAATAAATTAGATATTAAATGAGTCTGTATTGTTTAAAGGCAGTCACAGATCTGTCCTTTGAAATAGAAATTTGCTTTTTAAATTTGGAATACATACACAACTGCTACTTCCAGCAAACTGTGGAGGTCAGTAGCAAATAGTTAGGGTCAGTGGAGCATTTATGCAGTTTGATGATGCAGTGTCATTAATGAGAAAATTTGCCCAGTGTATCACTAATATTGAATTATAAAATATTGGCCCACAATAGGTTCTTCATAAAACCAGCAGTTTCACTGAATTAGCAAGATTTATTTATTGTTCCTCAAGTTAACATGATCTGAAACACAGTTCTTGAAACAGTCACAATTACTCTGTGATTACTCAGTTACTCTGTGCTATCTGCAGACAGGGTTCACCCAGCCTTGTCCTTCCTTTTTGGATTTGCATATTTGGAGAACATTTGCTTTCCATAAACCTTCCTTGATAAACCTTTGTGTCTTTGATTGGTTGATATTCCTTAGTGTTTTCTGAGAAAATTTTTGTGCCAGTGATTAAAAAAAAAGAAGAAAAGTCTTTCTTAAAGAGAAATACTTTTTTTTCCACACAAGAGCCTTGTTGTAATGTTTTTGGGCTACTGGTGGTGGGTGTTTTTATAATGAAATCTTCGGTCATATTCATAAACGATTTTCATTGAGTGACCCCATTGTATAGTTAATGCTGTGATTTTAAAAATTGCAAAGTTTTACCCTGGTATATTTACATGAAATGTAGAAGTCTCTGTTATAGAGGGCGATCATCCAAAATTATTAAATGAATGAAGATTATTAACATTAAAAAAAATTCATGACCTCCTCCCCCAAATAGTCACCTAAATTTAGACACTACTAATGCTATGCAGCATAGAGGTCACGGACTTTGAAATGACTACAACCTGGGTTCACATCCCAGCTCTATCATTTACATTTTAAAACACTTTGAGAAAGTTACTTAACTTTTTTAAGCTCAGTTTTCTCTTGATAAAAAGGAGAATAATATCCTCTGTCCCATAGAGTATCTGGAGTAATAAAACAATGTGTATAAACAGTACCATAAGAGTTCTATATGTAAGAATTTATTATTGGTCTTGGGGCATTATGTTATCCTTTTAATAATTTTCAAACACTGACCTTTTATGCCATTATGTGCCTTTCTACACAGTGTATATCACTGGTTCAGAAATTAGCACCAACATCTCAAATAGTTAACTTTTATTTATCTTTTTTTTTGAAATGGAGTTTTGCTCTTGTTGTCCAGGCTGCCTCAGCCTCCCAAGTAGCTGGGATTACAGGCACGCACTGCCATGCCCAGCTAATTTTTTGTATTTTTAGTAGGGATGGGGTTTCATCATGTTGGCCAGGTTGGTCTCAAACTCCTTACCTCAGGTGACCCACCCACCTCAGCCTCCCAAAGTGCTGGGATTACAGGCATGCACCACCATGCCTGGTTGACTTTTATCATTCTTAATTCAAGATACCACTATAATATCCATTTATTCATTTGGCAAGTATTTGTTGGACAGGCATTAAGTGTCAAGAACGGGCATTAGACTTGAGGGTCTAGTAATGAGCAAAAATAAAGTCATGGTTTCTGCCCTCTTTGATATCTGTATTTGTTCGTTTTCACGCTCCTGATAAAGGCATACCCAGGACTGGGTAATTTATAAAGAAAAAGTTTAACAAACTAACAGTTCCACATGTCTGGAGAGGCCTCACAATCATGGCAGAAGGCGAAAGGCATGTCTTACATGGCAGCAGACAAGAGAGAATGAGAACCAAGCAAAAGGGGTTTCTCCCCTTATAAAACCATCAGATCTTGTGAGACTTATTCACTACCACAAGAACCAGTTTCCATGGTGGAAACCGCCCTCGTGATTCAATTATCTCTCACCAGGTCCGCCCTATAACAGATGGGAATTATGGGAGCTGCAATTCAAGATAAGATTTGGGTGGGGACACAGCCAAGCCATATCACTATCCTTGTGAAGCGTAAAGACACTCACTAGGGCGTTCCACAAACACACACAAAATTGCATCTATGTCAGGAAGAAGAGGGAGGACCACAGAGCTCTATGAGACTCCCTTAGGCAGGTTGGGCCTAGTGAAGGGATCTGAGAAAACTTTTCTAAAGAAATGACATTTGTGATGAATTCAGAAAGAGGAATGGGGTGAACCAGATGACAAGATGTTTAATGTAAAGGAAAAAAGGATGTTATGTAGAGGAAACACAGCATGTTCAAAGGTCCTATGGTAGAATGGAGCTGGGAGAATGGAAATGAAGTTCCATAGTAGCTGAAATACGGGAAGCAGGGGGGTTGAAATGTGATTGAAATGGTGTTTTGTTTCAAGACCAAGTCAATACTTTTTGGTCATATTAAAGAGTTTGTTTTTATTTTAAAATTGCAAAGGGAAACTGTTTAATATTTTATGAAGAGCTAATATGACCAGATTTGCTTTCACAGATTAGGGGATTTTGGAGTGAATGTCTGAGAGCCCATTAAAAAGCTATTGCAGTAGTTGCTATCATAATGTCTTGGACCTGGATGAAGGTAGTAAAAATGGAAAGTTGGCAGTACGGCAGATGTATAGGTTATAGAATGAAGCAGAGGGAGCTATCAATAACAGTGGAGATATCTTGAGGTTATATAACAAAAGATGTCAAATAGGTAGGTGAATATGTGGATCTGGACCTAAGAAAAGAGTGTTGTGTGTTTGTGAGCCATTTGGGTATGGGACTAATTGAGGGACGTAGCATAGCTGAGATAAAGAGAGTTATTAAATTACAATAGGATATTTATTTTTAAAGACAGGACATGGCAAAGAAAAGACAAACAATAGTTTTACCAAAATGAGGGACTGCAGTGTCTTAGGATATGGGATATGGTATATTCTGAGCTCATATTTTATAGTTATTTATTGAGATACAATCTGACATTTTCAAAATTCCCAGTGGCTTCTACAAGTGAGTCTCTAGGACTGTAAATTGTGTGCCTCTCTTTCTGTCTCCATCTCATTGTTCTTATTTTCTCTTTTTCTTGTGTTCTTGGTACGTTTCATTACATTTTTAGATTTATTTTTTATTTGCTATTTGTGTTAATCTTTGTAAGCCATTAAGTGCATTATAAAAATAATTTTAGCATATGAAAAGTATAAATTAAAATATAAAATATGTAAATATTGATTTGGTGAAATTAAAAAAAAATTATAAAGGTATCCAGAGAGACAAATATGTTTTGGCATCTTTCTACTTGTGAATTTTTACTTAAGATTGGCAATAAACGAAAGGCCTATTAGCTCTGAGAAGTGTAAAATTCTGGCTTTTCTTTAAGCTTTTAAAAGTTAATGAGAATAGTCTAACACCATTTCACTCTAACAGCCAAGTGGAGATAGTTAAAGGGATAGAGTACCTTCAACACATGCTTCACATTAAGTTGATTTTGTTTTATTTGAACAGGTATATTGTAGCCCAAGAATTGGTCTTGGTGCATATTAAAAGGCTGGTCTTTCAACTACTTGTTGTTCGTTGACATTTGGATATGTTGAAGTCCTGTATATTTCATTTTACATTCTCTGGATTTATTTATTTGCAATAATTTAGTACTGAAATGTATGCTCTGCATACTTTAAAATGTGTCTGCCATTTTAGCCAACACAGAGTTTTTTTGTTGTTTTGGGGGGGTTATGTGTATATGTTTGCTTTATTTTTTTTTTTTCCTAGTGAGAAATGTTTTAAGGTACATAGGTACACTGCCAGAAAAAGCATTTTTCTACAGCTCATTTGTTTTATATAGACTACCAGAGTGAATTTAGGACCTTATATGAGCAGGCAGTGGACCTTTGAGCCAGGTGCTTGTTCTCACTGCCTTTTTATGATATTTGATGGTTCATTAGAATTCTATCTTCACACCTAACAAAAACAAAGTAATCATAAATATGATGTTTATTGTCATAGAAAGACAAAGAAAGCGGTGCAACACTGAGGGCTATTAAAGTTTCATGTTAGTCATTTTATCTTGAAATGATGACCTGCCCTTGTTTTTCCTGGATTCACATTAACTAGTTTAAATTCAGTACCAATCCAGCAGCACTGGGCAAGAGAGGCACTACTAGCATGCACCATTCTGTTGCTACCTTAAAAGAGTGCTTCCTCTGAACTAAGAAATTTGCTTGAAAATAAGGTCAAATTTAAAAGGTTAGGACGGGGTTTCTGAAGATTGGCATGGTAGACATGTGGGGCCTCAGAATTCTTTGACATAGGGGCCTGTCCTTTGTCTTATAGGATGGTTAGTAGTATCCTTGGCGTCTACTCACTGGATGCCAATAGCCCTCCCTTAGTTGTGACAACCAAAATTGTCTTTACATGTTGTCAAATGTCCCTTGGGGGGCAAAATCACCCCTGGTTTAGACCTTCTGGCTTCAAGTACTTTAAGAATAACTTCTAATAGTTAAGGCAAATGAACTATGAAACATAAACATCTCAGAACTATACCTCCCACACATATACATGCTAATATACGAATGTGAAAAAAATAGAGTTTTTAGGTAGTTAGAAGATTTAAAAAATACATTTTACGTACAGATTAAAACTATAATCTTTGCTAGTTAAGTTCAATTTCTTAGAAATATCTTTATAAACCATTGAGTAAACTTTTTGAAAATTGATTGCTTTTAACCTCATTTTCAATGGTCGACCATTATTAAGACTGTATTATCAAATATTAATCTTCTCTAAAATCTGCAAATTTGGAAGATCATGCCAATTATCCACCCACATTGGTGTCCTTATACAACAGTTACTTCTGGTAGCCCAATAAAAATAATAAATTATGGTTGTATTTACTTTTTCATTATTAAGGGCAAGTGTATTATGTATCTAAAGAAACAAAATATTACAAGAAAACAGAAAGTCTGCAGAGATAACTAAATTATTTATTGGTCACTATTGGGCATTAATCACTTAATGCTTATTTGCCATCCCAAACGCAGCACTCCTTAGGAAGGTTGTTTTTTGTTTTCTCCCATTTGCTATAATATAAGAGAAACACAAATTAAATAATTTAACACAGTTTTGGCTCAGGCTATGATGTGAGCAATAAAAAAAATATTTCCCAATTTTTACTTGTCTTGGGTTGGTTTCTATTCATCAGTGAATAAATACAATTAAATTTAATTTTTCTATAAGTGTACTGATCCATTGCCTGGCAGCCTTACAAACTGCTGATTCAATCAACAATAAAAATAGATTTCAGTCTACACAAATGTTTCCCTGTTGTGTCATTTAAAGCTCCAAATGTTAAATGCTTATTTATAGTATATTTAATAGAAGCCTTTTCCTCATTAGATATTTCAGTCAGTGAATGACAAGACAGTTACATTAATAATTCTGTTCTTGGGATACTTGCCATATTTTTGGTTAGGAATAGTGTCTGGTTTGAAAGTATTGGCCACATTGGAATCTGAGCTAGTTGTTACAATACACAAATCATTGGGTGTGAATCACAAAACAGAACACAGTGTACTGGAAGAAAGTCTACTAAGATCAAACTTTCTGTTTTGTACATTCAGCTTCACTGCCTCTATTTCTTAGTTTAATTTGAGATATCATGGATCTTAAGCAAGCCGGATGCTATAGATATAAAAGCAGATGTGAGAGGGATATAGTACATAGAAGTGGTGGACAACAAGGAACAAAGGTCTACAAAAATATATGTTGCATTGACACAAGTAGTCTTTACTTCAGATTTAAAATACTTTGAGATACGGATTTAAAGGAAAATCGGGGTCAAGTCAGTTTTGCTCTATTTTACTTTAAAGCTAGGAGGAGTTCTTTCCTTCCATAAAACATATAAAACAATATTGTAAGTACATAATTATCTGTAATTGAAAACAAGTGCAAAATTATAGAAAGAAAACATGATCTAAATACCTGATGTTTCATTCAGTGAAAAGTACAGACCGCATTGCTTTGCTTGGTTACTACTGTTATTCTCATGATGTTGATAACTACTATTCCTCTTAGCAGCTGATCACTAACTTCAGGCCTGGCCTGAAGTATTTTTATCCTAATAGTAATTATGATTCTCAATTGTTGGCTGAGAACATTGAGTTGGGAACAGTACATTCCCAGGAATTTATTTTCTCTCCCTTCATTCAGTTGATGACTTCTTTCCTTTTTACTTAGTTTTTTTCTTTATTCTAGGAAGAAAACACACAATTTTTTTCATATGTATAGGCACATGCATGTAAAAATATGGGGAACAAATTATGTTTTAAAATATTTACCTTTCTACCTCATTTTACACTAAGAAAGTACATGTGCTTTTATGTTCAGCCTGAAAGGTGATATATATTAAGTTCATTGGTCACGTACATATATATGTGAAACTGACATATTTTTAAGACTCTATGAAGTACTTAAAGGTCACACCTAACTTTTATGACCCAGATGAAGGCACACATTTCAAATAAGACTTAAATTTGCCTTTTCTCTGACAGTAACAGAATATAGACAAGATATAAGATAACTGGGCCCGTTATCCCAACAGCCAAACGAAAACAAGGCATGCCTAATGCAAATCATGCAACTGGATGAGAAGAATTTTAAATGTACAAACTGGGTTGCGTCTTTATTTTCACTTTCTAATTCTGTATTGCTTATCTATAAATTGATAGCTATGAAAAATTCTCTAATTTTGTTGCACAGTCACCTGGGAAGTATCTTTGAAATGCAGGTTTCCAGGTTTCACTCTTAGTCTGACACAATAGATCAGAGATGAGTTCTAGGGTGTGCAGTTTTAATAAACATTTATGGTGATGCTAATGCACATTATCCCTTAACTATACCTTGAGAACCACCAGCCACCATTCTAGATCATTGGTGCTTTTGGTCTTGCCAAGGTCTCAATAAGGTAACTCAACCTCTCCATCCCTCACTTTATTTCTGTATCTGCCGGATAACATTTTTTTCTGACTCTGATTTAAAAATCTCTGTTTACCAAGATGTTTCCTGGTATGTGGTAGTGAATATAAGTGCATTTAAAATTTCGAACAGCGAACTTACAAAAGAATAATCAGAATAAACTTATTTTTGACTTGCAAACTTTCTGTTTAGTTTTTATAGTAAATCAGTAACTCTAGCTATTTTTAGAAGTCATTCCAGTTTGATCCCTATGTTTTATTTCCATTTCTTGTCATTTTTTATGAGTTGTTATGTTTGTTTTTATAGAAGAAGAATAATATGTATTATGTGAAAGTAATAGCCAAACTTTAATTTCATTGGTGTTTCTTAAAAATTTCTATTAAATCAGAGTACAGCATGGATTAGAAAAATAAAGCCAGAAATCAATATCAGAAGTTTAAAGAAGATTGTAATTAGTAATTTGCCTGAGTTACAGTCAAGGATAAAGCTAAAAGTCTCAGAGTAAATGCAATCACAGTAAGAAAGATAAGGGAAGGCCGGGCGCGGTGGCTCACGCCTGTAATCCCAGCACTTTGGGAGGCGGAGGCAGGCGGATGACAAGGTCAGGAGATCCAGACCATCCTGGCTAACGCGGTGAAACCCTGTCTCTACTAAAAATACAAAAAAATTAGCTGGGTGTGGTGGCGGGCGCCTGTAGTCCCAGCTACTTGGGAGGCTGAGGCAGGAGAATGGCGTGAACCCGGGAGGCGGAGCTTGCAGTTAGCCCAGATCGCGCCACTGCACTCCAGCCTGTGCGACAGAGCAAGACTCCGTCTCAAAAAAAAAAAAAAAAAAGAAAACAAGAAAGATAAAGGAAGATTTTGTAGTCAAAGTGGACGAAAAAATGAAGACATAATTATAGACCAATACATTACATCACAATAAATTACATAGCATCTGAGAGATGTAGGGAGTCTTTGGTTATCTTTTTGAAGGCTGCACTAGTCAACAAGCAGGTAATGAGAGAAAGCTGGAAAGAGCTCTGATCCTCTCATTGACTGGACAGAGGGAACACATTTCTTTCAGGCAGACACACAGTCTGAGAAATCTCATTAAAGTTATGCTTGATTCCTTTTTATACTTAAATAAATAGTTTCTGGAGACATGGTATTTTATTGTGGCTATAATGACTCTTGGTTGAATCTGACAATATTGATGTCATTTCACAGTGCCAGTCAGGCCGACAATAGGAAATTTAAAAAAATAGTAGACCATAAGAATCTTTCACAAATGTTACATAAAAAGCATTTCTCTGAGTTGAGAAAAAGGAAACTTGTTTCAAGAGAACACTGGCAAGATCATCTTCTTGTAGAGCCCTGTGGTAAAATGTGAAAAAAAACTCTTCTTCAATGTCATCCTTTAGATACTGGCCTGCTTCTATTAATAATATGTAAATGCTATGGAAATAGAACATGCTGGGTGCCTCATCTGTCGAGAGAGTGGCTGCAAGATGACAAAGGTAAAGAGAACTACTTTAGTCAAGAAGGTCTTTAGAAAGGATGAAATCTCTCTCACTCAGAAGCAGCCTGTGGATAATGAACTTAGGCATCTCTGTCATGCGAAAAGAGGCATCCTGTGAGTGTGAGGGATCCACAGCCTCAGAGAACAACAGAAATTTTGAGCCTCGCTTTCGAAACCAAACCTGAAGAGAATTGTGACTCTGAAGCAGACAGATGAGCTGATGAATAGAGATGTCAGGGAGAATGCAAAGAAGCAAGGTGTGAATTTTGGGTGTCAGATAGCAACTCTACCCAGTCCCCGAGGGAGGCTGTTCTTTGTGCTGAGAGGGTGAAGAGTGCTGATGGATAAAAGAAAGGCCTGAAGACAGGTGGAGCAAATCATTGAGGACAGCTGGAAAGCACTGATTCATTATTTTTCATATCATTTGGAATTGCCATATCAACTACCCTCAGAAGACCATGCGTAAAAGCTCCCTTGCTGAAGCCGTTTAGCATAGTCTTGCACTGTGGCTAAGACCCCAGGTCTGAAGTTAGGCTTCCTGGGTTCACATCCTAGCTCTACAGATTGTGACACTTCCCTCATCTTTTAAGAAACTGCACAACTTACTATGCAGATTTTAACTTTGCATCTGCAAAATGAGCATAATTATTTTACCCAAACTAAAATGCTCTGTGGATCAAATGAGAAAAACTTTGTAAAGTGTATACCTTATTGAGGGACACAGAATAAACTCTAGCTATTCAACCTAATTTCGGAAATAATAATTCAATTATAGAGATCATCCAGTTCTTAGAGAATTTATAATCAAAACAAAGATCGTTTCAATGAAAATATGATTATTAGAAATTAAAAGAAATAGAATATAAGAATGCAACTTAAAATTGAGGGGAAAACAAGTTATAAATCATTATATTTTAGAGGGATCATAATGCTTTATCAAGTTTTGAAATTTAATATATGACTAGTAGTAAAATAATATTATTCTTTTGATGCAGGGGAAAAAAAGGTTTCACAGTAGCATATTAGACCCTTCTAAAAATAATGGATAATAATTACTTCCAGCACAGTGTGTTCAACAAACTGTCATAAACCATGCACTCAAGACTCTTTGGGTCAGAGAAAAGGATAATTTGGTAAATACACTAGCTCTATAATCCTGAGATGACTTTTCTAAAACATACCAGTCTTCATTTAAATAAAATACTGCTTATTTAGTTAATAGATAGAAGTTGTATTATTGGAGTCAGAACTAAAGTGGGTAATCAGTGTTGCCCTCCAGAACAATGATGCAAGTGCTCAGCTGTTGTTTTGCTTTATGTCTCTATATTTAACAGGCAGGCATTTTCTTAACGTTATAGACACTAGGTGATAGCCAGCCTTTCTAAGAACTAACATATATCCAAAAAGGACATTCAGTAACAGGAAAAACATAATCAAACCAAAAACATATTGATGTATTAAGGTACACTAATGTCAAAACATTATTTCAAGAAAAGATGGAAGGGAAAACAAGCCATAAATTTATTTACATACACATACACACACATAGACATGGTTGATGGTTTTCTGCATCTGTAGGGAAAAGCAATTGAATACTTTGTGTGCAATTCAAACTCAGAAAGCCAGTCCTTAAATTTTGTCATCCTCAGAAGTAGACTATCTTATAAGTAGGTAAAGCAAATTATTACCTTATTATAAGTTAACTTATTAGGATAAGTGGAAATGCTGAGAAGACTGGGACTCAGTTTTCTGAAACAATGTAGGCCAAATTTTCAGGCTCTTTTTTAGTAGCAGAAGGACATTATGAGTCATATAAGTGTCTATAATAAGATGAAGAAGTCTCTGTCTCAAACATGACAATCAGGCATGCATGCTTGTTTGTACAGTGCACAATGTCACTACATCTAACAGTATGCTATTTGCATCATGGATATTGTTGATCTGTTGATTATTAAGTTTAAGGGAGTTAAATAATGATACAGATTCTGTTTCCATAATAAGTATGTTGTGACAGTTTTCCACAGATAGAAATAATGGGTCTTGATAAAGTGTAACCTTTCTCTAATTTGTAAAGAGATACCCTGTGGCTTAACAATAACGCTGACAGTAATTCAGGGACTTGTTAACAGGATGAGGATTTCAGCCCAACTCAATATTCTTTCCCCTCATCTACCCACCTTTCTCTATTCAAAACCCCTGTCTCCTCTTCTGATTCATGCAATGCTAGCTTTATTAAGTCTGACAGTGGAGCCAAGATCTTCTTCTTATATATTGCCATGGTAAAATGTTTAATTAAAAACATAAATCTTCTTAGTAGATTAGTCCTTAGAGCACTTTATAAATGCTTTAATTTTCCCATTATGTTAATCAATATGTGTACCCTGTACTTGAAAATCACTATCTAGGTGTTAGGTTTTTTTAAGATGTATTTTTAAAATATAAAGAGTGATTGATCTTTTGGGGATCATCATGATCTATTTTTTGATAGTTTTTGGCAGAAGAAAAACAACTTAAAATTTGTTTTTAGCCATACGGAAGGATGTGTAGGTGTGTGTGTGTGTAATGATGCATTTTATAACTGTTGATAGACTAGCAGGAGCTTGTTTCCATATTTCATAATTGAAGCATTTATTGAATACTAATTATAGCCTAGGCATTGATACTTTAGTGTTAACACATTGACTGTGTCTTCACAAAGCATGTATGTTGTAACTGGAATTTTGCTTAGAATAAAATATAAATTGTTTAACAGATGACTTCATAAGTAGCAGTTTTGCTTTTGGAAAAAAAATTAAATATAATCCAATAAGGAATTATATCTCTTTAAGTATAAGGGTTTTTGACAAACAATATCTTTTAAAAGATACTTGATAATTCTTGCTTCATAGATTTTTTTTAAGACCTTTTTTTATAAAGGTTCCCAAATGTCAGCTCTCTTTTTCTAACCCCTTCCAAATCCATGAGCTCCAAAAGGCATTTTAAAATACTTAGAATACTTCTTATTTATTTAGTCCTCTTGCCTGACTCTTTCTGGCCATATTCTAATTTCTTTTAAATTGAACAAATGATATTTATGACTATATATAGGATATTGATGAATTAAGATTCAGTTACTTGTTTATTTTTCTTTAAGTACAGGATCAAAGCAACTTATTTAGAATAGATAGAATGTATGCTGAATAATTTTTGTTACCCTTATTTCCATTAGGGATTTAAAATGACTATATTGGAGTCTTGTAGAAATCATTAGTTGATGTGAAATTGTGTTTACTAATGGAGGGAAGTAATATTATTTCAAGTGTTAATATAATTCTAGGTGGCTTCTGTCATTATTTAACTAGATCGGTCACTTTTTTGTAACGTTGGGCAAATTGTTTTGCCTTTCTGTGACTCAGTTTTCTCAAATATAAAATGAGGAAATAATAGCACCTGTTTTTTAGGGTCACAATGAAGAATTAAATAAGTTAACAGTGTAGCACAATTAAAATAGTTTTTAGCACATAGCAAATGACCAAGAAATGTAACTATCATCCTCCTTATCATTATTATCTCATTTAATCTTCACAAAAACCTTATGATAAGGTATGTGTGCCTCAGCCTCCAAGTAGCTGGGATTGCAGGCGGGCGCCACCACGCGCAGCTAAGGTTATTACTATTATTTCCATATAATAAATAAGGAAACTGAGGCTCAGAGAACTTGATGGCTGCCTTATCTACTTCAAGGAAGTGTTTGAGGATTAAACCACGTAATGGAAATCAAAGCACTTTGAAAACATGAATCACAGCACAAATAAAAGTTGTTAAGGGATCGAGTAAAAGAGTACAAAGAATAATCACATTAACAGGTCCTCGCTAGGTATACAAGCAGTGACACAGTGTTAAAGAAGCAGTTTCCTCAAATGGATTGTAATTTATGGGAAATATGATCCACACTGACTCTAGATCATAAACTGTGCCCAGGACACCCCAAGACAAAGCTTCTATGGTACTGAGAGTAAAAGCTCTTTAATCTGACGCTGGTTTGTTTAAATCATAAGCAACTAGAAACAAATTTCATTTTATAGTCAACTCCATGCTCTCTTGTTCTTTAATGAAAATACCAGATAATGCAAACATGATTAATTCAAAGTTTATTTTTACAAATATTATCTTGAATATTAATGAGGTTTGCTTAGGTCTGTATGAGACTTGATTTCTGAGATTTCTGTATTCTGTTCTTAAGTCTGTTTTACAAAGCTGAAAAAATAAAGTCTATCTTCTAAACAGATAACTTTTGTAGTTATATGTAATGTGGGCTTTTATTTTTGTGTTTTTGCTTATTTTATTTAATAGAATAACCTCAGATTGGCTGTTGTAAGAAGGGCATTTTCTATGTGTACCATTTAACTGATTATGTTTTTTAAAAATGCATTTGCCCCTTGTGCTGGAAAAATTACCCAGTTAACACCGTGATAATAGTAGTGATTTTAAGGAAAGGATTTGTGGATCTCTTTCTCTGCAATTTACTTGCTGTTTCTGACAACCCTTTACAATACCTGTAATCAGTGTGGTGATTTTTCTCATGAACTTTGCCAAGAGCTACCCATCACTTTACTTAAGTACTGCAATACCTGTCTCAGTTTGCTGTTGATTGCAATTAGAGTTTTGTGGGTTTTTTTTTTTAAGTTGTTGAAAACTTTCCACATATAAACACTATAAACATGAGCCCAAACATATTTTTCTTCTATCAGGAAACACAAAATTACAGAACTTTATTTTTGATAATACCAACCAACACATTTAATAGGTTAAAAAAAAAAGGTTTTTCAGAGATTAAATGACAAGGCCAAGGTCACATCGAGATAATATTGAAAACCAGATTTTCTGATTTTCTTTCTATTACTCTAATTCACACACATGGTGGCTTTGTATTTACAGTAATCTAAATCTGAATGTGCAAATCCAAGTGTGGATAATTATTACGTAACCTGATAATCAGGAAGCAAGCTCCACAAAGGCAGTTACTTTGACTTTTTTGCTCACTATTCTAATCCTACCACCTAGAATCGTGCCTACCCTGTATCAGGTGTTCAACAGTTTTTTTGTTTATTTGTTTGTTTTTTGTTTAGTGAGCAGCAGCAAGATTTATTGTGAAGAGCAAAAGAAGAAAGCTTCCACGGCATGAAAGGGGACCCAAGCAGGTTGCCCAATAAATATTTTTTAATAAATGAATGAATGGATGAGTAATACCTCATCACACACACACATATGTATTCTTTTTTTCTTAATTACCTCAATTTTAAAATAGTGTTCATGTGTATTGTTTGCTTCTTTAGCTGTCTAGATAGTTTTGGTTTCTTTTTTGTATATTATATATAATCTCCCAGCCAAGTTAAAAATGTAATATTTAGCTAGCCAGCTAATGTTTTACCATATAAAGCCATACAACGTGATTAATATCTTTTTCTAGTCAGATTGACTAAGTGCATTTATTTATTCATTAATATGCATCAGGTAGTTTAATTTCATTATATAAAGAGCTACAACTAAAATAATTATTACAATTTTGAATCATGGATTAAAAATCTCTAATAATAAATCTAAGTTTCTGATATTGAGTATATCAATAAGGGAATATAAGTCTAGAAATATTTACCCAAATAATAAAACTATTTCTAAAGGTTCCTTCTCATCACAGGCTTCATTGCATATGAAAAAGTTTCCCAGGAATATTTCATCATCTTCATTTCCTTCATTAGGATGATTAAAGCACCTTATATAGTACTGTATGCCCTGCTATTAACACTCATTTTTTCTTTTCTGGATCAGATACTATTAAGACCCAGGAGACAGCTTGACTTAAAATATAAATTCTTGGTAGTTTAATTTAGAGAGTGTCACCCTAGAGGATCTTATGATTAAGCACAACTGTGGGTTTTAGTATTACAAAAGTAATAAAGATCATCACAATGGATCTTGTATTTGAGTAAACATCTGAAATGTTGTGCATGCTCCATTCATCTACCAAACAAATTAGAGAGAAAACAGAAAAAATGAAGCAAGAACTTGTATTCCTGTCATCTTTTTGCTTTAGTGTTGAATTAACAAGCTGGTGATATATGAGCATGTATAAATTAGGATGTTTTTCAGTGCACACTAGGAAACACACACACGCACACAAACAAACCCGAAAACACAGTGGTTGGTATGCAGCTGATCATTCAGAGGCCTCTCCAGAAACAGTCTCCTTTTTCACTGAGTCTCCTGTTGGTACCCTGACCACGTTGTGTCTGCAGCCCAGGCTGCATTAGGGTCTGACCACAGCCATGCAGGTTGTAAATGATCTCAGGTACTGATCTATGCTCAGCTGCTGGAAGACACTCACCTCTTCCCCAGGCCCTCTGGGTAACTTTATAAGTGAAAATCTTTCTCCAGTTCTTGAATTCAGATGAGCTGGCCCAGAGGCATTGAAAGCCTTCTTCACAGATTTTGGCTTTCCTCCTAGATTCGTTGGTTGTTAATAATCCCGACTTTCCACATAACAATAATTTAAACTGTTCTTCCTCTTTTCCCAGTAGCATATCTCAAGATGCATGGGTAATGTAGCTAGTCATCAGAACACTGGATTTTGAAGAAAAACAGACCTGGGCATTTTGGCCATAATTAAATGGAAAGCTTTGAATAATAGTTCTTCAAAACCGACAAGACACATGACATCCTTGACCAGTTTCTAAGCTTTTACTTTTAGACTGTGGTCAAATATTGTATTTCAGGTCTTATTCTGCATTTGTTTTTAGTTACTGTTTTCTTTATGCTTCTTTCCTGGGGCCTGTGCAATTATAGATCTTGGAGGATTCTTGCTCTTTTTTTCTCCTTAACACTTTCAGGGATTTACACCAAGGCTGAGAGAATAGAAGTCACACATTTCTTGGTAGGAAAGGTATATTGTATGGGTTGAAGAAGCAGCCAGAAACATCTACTAACTGAATGACAATACACAGCGAAGTGATCTGTTCACTCTCAAAAGCTACCAAGCAGGAGAATGACTCTAGCTCAGCATCCCAAGTGTGAGAGGCCTTTAAAATTACAAAGGAGGAGTTGGACCAAGGCAAGATCCCACATCTGGCATGATATCAGAACACTGAGTGGAAATTCAAGGCAAGACGATTTATGAGTGAGGTATTTGTAGCTCATGAGGCCATCTGTGGAAATAAATCTTAAGTGTGTTAGGAATTTTACTTTCCCCAATTCGAAAGAATTTCAAATTGATTTTTGTTGTTGTTAAGTCTTTGTTAACATGATTTGAGTTTTAAACTGTATTGAATGTTTTTCTAATTACAAAAGAAAAGCATATTCACTATACAAAACATAAAAAAGCAAAAAGCAGAAGCAATAATGGTAACCTTTTTATATTAATATAACCATTATTAACATTTGCTAAAGTGTTCTCACTCTTCCAATATATTTTTAAATGAAATTATATTGCTTTTATTTTACAGCCTGCTTGTCTACTAAACAATGTATATGAAACGTATCCCCAAATCATTAAATATTCTGCTGCAATATGATTTTAATGGCTATGTGGTATTCCATTGTGTGGATATATCATAATTAACCTGACCAATATTTTATTGCTGATTTAGATTGTTTTCAATTTGCTATTACTTCTTCCTTTATGATCTCTTAGTACTCTGCTCATAGTGCTGATATATCAGAATTAATTGTATTATGGGGAATTGTATGTTTATCACCTCCTTTTGCTGTGAAGACCCTCAATTTTGGGGTTCCATATTTTTTAATTATTTTGCCACTAACATCTAGCCTAGAAATAATGCAGTAAATGATAGGGAGATGCCCAAATTATAGCTTCAGAAAATTTTGAAGAATAGCAAAGATTGGGCAAAAGATTGATAGAGTCTATGGAATACTAGATTCATTGGACGTATATCCCTTATATTATGATCACCATTTTTAAAGAGCAGTGGGAGCCTAGAGACCTCCTGCAGAAGAAATTCAGACATTTTTCTCTTCTCAGAGTTTTCACCAAGGGACATTTCCCGAGAAATGCAAAAATCACAATTCAACTCTGTTAAATAATTCTGGTGTGTAGTAGTTGAGGTTTTTAATTTCAGCTCTGCTACTCACTAGTTTCGGGAAGTTGTTTAACCTCTCTCAGATACTAACACCCATATTAATGTATATCAACTTTCTCTACCTGTAAAATATGAGTAAAAATATCTATCCCAAATGTTTATGAGGAAAAAATTAATTGGGTTTTATGAAGTAAAATAAAATAATGTATGAAAAAAAACATACCACAAGGTCCAGTAAATAGCAAGTGGTAAGTATAACTTCCTTTTAACTGCTTTAATTTTCACTTTACTTAAAACCCCTTGACACTTAGGACTCATTCCACTTTAAAAAATTAGTGACTGGGTATCCTGAGGATTCATGCTTCATGTAGTCCTCGTCTGTCTGTCAGGCACAAAGGAGAACACATTATATGAGAAATGAGGTGGCCCTTGATTTCTTGTTTTCCCTTCTTTTAATAACTATAAATACAAAAGTGGTTACTGCACCTCAGAGGAATCTGTATGCTACATATTTGTTGTTAGTAAAGGGTAGTTATCTCTGAAATACATGCTTCAGGATCCTGTTCTTAGCTCTAATGCTTTCTAGAGCCCAGTACAAACTAGAGCTGATTTTATAACAGGACAGACATATGAAAGAGTGTTGTAGATTATCCAACCTGCCAAGGCAAAAATCTGCTGTTCACAGGCCTAGGGAAATTGAATGGTTCTTAGGGCACCCTGCTCTGTGATTGGGAATTTAAGGTATATTCTGAGAGAGCAGCTATGTGAGCTGTCCTTGGAAGCCGAAGAGTCCACTCCAGCTGAGTCATCTAGTGGCTAAACTAGGGTCACAATTTCCATGTTTCTATCTATTTATACAGATTTAAGCCTTCTGAGTGCTCCAGGATAAATCCATATTTTTGAGGTTCAAAGATGAACAAGGAGAATCTCTGACTCCCAGGAACCAGACGAGAGAGTCTTTGTTGTAGGATTGCAGACTGGAATTGAATTGTCAGTCCTAACAGCTGCAGTAAGATGCAGACATTGCACTGCATCTAGGAGTGACAAGCTGTTCATCTAATTGGCTGGCTCAGGTTTCAGTGATGGGGTGGGAGAGGGAATGCAGCAAGGAAGGAGAGTTAAGTGGCACCTGGGAGCTTTCCGTGCATTTTTCTAGCATTTCTCTAAACTGTAATTGTTATCTTGTATTAAAATACTTGATAACAGGAACAGAGAATCTCTTTGGTGAAGTGCTTGAGTGTCTTTGGACATGCAGGAGATCTCAGAGAAACTGGGAAGAGTGGTTTATAAATGCAAAATGTAATATTGTGGCTAAGCATGGATCTTTTGTGTTCTGGAAAACACTAAGTCCCATGAAAGAAAAATTCAGCCCTTTGATGTAGATAGGAATGCAAATACCTGTTTCAGGCACTGCATTTTTTTCCTAGCTACCATACCAACAGTATGGCATAAAAGTAGCAGCTAATGCTGGGGAGGCGCCCCTTAAGGACTGGAGATGTTTTGTTTGCTCACAGATGGAAGCAAATAGGGAAAGAGTTCAAATTAACTGGAAGATGCAGCGCGACCTTTGTTAATGTGGCTGATTTGTAGCTTACATTGGAGGGAGGGAGGTACCCTGAAAGAGACATGTTGTAACTGGTTTTATATGAATTTTGCACTATTTTACTTGTGGGAGTTTCGAAAATGAAGTTTCCCATTGTAACTCCTCCAAGGTTCAAGATGTGGTTAAAAAAAAAAAGTTGAAAGACAATATATATATCTGTGTGTCAGTTATACAGAAATTGCATGTTCTGATCCAAAAATCAGACCACTTGCTGGACAGATCTACAGCAAAGGCATGAGCCAAACATCTAGGTATCTTGTGCAGGCTGAAAATGTGTTACCCTGAGTTTAATGATTGACCAGTTTTGTAATTTGTTCTTTAAACATGTATCTGTGTGTATTTGTACACGTCTGAGGGCTACTGTGGGCATAGTTGATGGCTCTCTCAGCTTTACCTTTTCTGTTGCTCCAAGCAGTGTATTTGGGATGACAGAGAGACTTCAGGAAAGCCACTGAATGAACAGGGTCTTGAAATAAGGAAAGCATTTAAGTAGGCAAAGTTGGCCTAAGGAAGCCTTTCAGGATGAGAGAGATAAAGACCTAGAAATTGAGTTATGTGCAATTTCTCAGATACTTTTATGCTAATAATCCCAATCAAGAATAAATCCAATGAAAAATGATTGTTGTTATTGTTGTTGTTGTTGTTTTTGTTTTTTTTAGACAGAGTCTTGCACTGTCGCCTGGGCTGGAGTGCAATGGTGTGATCTTGGCTCACTGCAACCTCCGCCTCCCCGGTTCAAGCGATTCTCCTGCCTCAGCCTCCCAAGTAGCTGGGATTACAGGCGTATGCCACCATGCATGGCTAATTTTTTGTATTTTTAGTAGAGGCAGGATTTCACTATGTTGGCCAGGCTGGTCTCGAACTCCTGACCTCATGATCCACTTGCCTCGGCCTCCCAAAGTGCTGGGATTACAGGTTCCATGAGCCACCGCACCCAGCCGGAAAACGAAACTTATTTTAAATAAGATATTTATTTTGAAATAGAAATACTTGTTTTTTTTTTTAATTTTTTGCTTGAATATACTGATGATACTGACCAAACAATATTATTTTCCCCCACATTCAAACCATTGCATGGATTATTAAACTGGAATTATGGTAAGAGGTTTAATGAACAGAAAATAATAATAGTTGAGGGATGAAGACAACTCAAATATGATAGTCAAACATGTGTGATAGTTGAAGGATAAAGATTACAAGTCTCTAATCTTACACCTCCAAGCCTCCAAATTTTTAATTCTTTGAATGTGTTTTAGTGCATTCACAATGGTGGAAGTTGTAGGATTTTAATATTTACTTTTATATTATGTATTTATGAATATATTTATAAATATATTTTTATATTTACTTTTATATATTAGTTTTATATATGCAAACTAACATATTTGCAACGCATCCTAAAGCAGAGGTTTGAAATGGTCTGTTTTATCTAATCAGCTTAGTGATAAAGAAAGAAAGAAGGGAGAAGAGATGGAGGATGAGAGGGAGAGAGGAAGGGAGGGAAGGAAGAATATCAAATGTCAATGGCTCTGTTGAGTTACTGTGCTATTTTCCATAGTTCTCTCAAGTATGAAATTTTTATTTCACACACACGCAGGCACATGAATGCAAACACACATCTTTATACACATACAAAGGGCTTGTCTCTTAAAAGCTTTTGAGCTGGAAACTCTGCAGAAGGGCTCTTATTTTCCTCATACTGCAATTAGTGAGCGTCCTTGGTTGGCCATCTAGCTTTGTACTCATTGTCAAATCCTGAATTAAATCATCATATGAACTTGAGTACATTAGTAAAACTTTCTGTTTCTGGTTTCTTTATGTGTGATATAAACAGATACAGATTAATAACTATGTTGTTTTGGGGGATTAAATATAACTGTAAACAGTTTACATGTTTGATTTTTGAGAACAGAATGGCTTCATCTTTCTTTACTCTGCAAACATGCCTTCCCTTCCCAGCTCCCAGCCTTCATGTTATTTGTGTCGATCCACATCCAACTTTCTTTAACGGTAATGTGGCTAAGCCAAATTTTTTTTGTGCTCCCATACTCATGCACTTATGCCCAAGATTTATATAACAACATACCCATGTTTATATGTGTTTGTATAAAATAAGTCTCATAAAAGTCCCAAAGAGAGGAACCTATTTTTTATCTGAAACCATGGCTCAAAAACCATGCATTTAACCTATGCTGTGCTGCCTTTCAAAGCGTGATGAAGAAAACAACATCGGGTAATTGCTGACGTTATGGACACCAGGAATTAAAAATATTACCCTAGCTTCTGTCTGGCTGAGAAAAGTGAAGAGAACAGTGGGCATATAAACTGTTGTAGTGCACTAAATGTTTATTCCGCCTTCCCAATTCATTTGTGGAAATCCTAACCCTCAATGTATATTCAGGTGAGACCTTTAGTAGGTGATTCGATCATGAGAGTGAAACCCTCATGAATGTGATTCCCTTACAAAAGAGTCCCTTTACAAAAGGGTCTCTTACAAAAGAGACCCCAGAGGTCTCCCTTGTCACTGCTGCCATGCAATGGCACAGTAAAAAGAGTGCCACCTGTGAACCTGGAAGTGGGCCTTCACCAGATGTGAAATCTGCTGGCACCTTGACCTTGGACCCTTCAGCATCCTGTACTGTGAGAAGTAAATGTTTGTGGTTTAAGTCACCCAGTTTGAGCTACTTTTGTTATAGCAGCTCAGATTAAAACTATAATTGTAAGTGAAATTCGTCCATTTCATATTAAATTGAGTTCGTATTTTCAAATGCCAAATCTTATCAAAATACTTTAAAAATAGCCTTCATAGTCTTGTCGTGTAGAAATGTCAAGAGAATGTTTATTCTGTTACTGAAAATCATGGTAAAAATTCACAGTTAGCTACATTATGGCCATTACAAACACAGATGTTGTTCCAACTAGAACAGAAACCCAACCTGGCAATCTGCATTAATAATTGTGTTTCAATGGGGACAAGCTTTTGGGGTACCAGGAAGTACATGTAGTGTGATGAATAATGGCTTATTAGACTTTCCTCTGAGTCCTCCCTTGATAATTAGAATTTGATGTAGTGTTATTATAATGTTTAAAGTAGAGGAATAAATGTCATTTAATCCAATAATATTTAAAACATGTTAAAATGAAGTAACATATATGTATTGCATGCCAATTTGAATTAAGTACTTACTGTACTAGACACCAGAGGATACAAAGAAATCAAATTAAATAAATAGCTTCCAAGAAACTAACAATCTAGTTTGACTACACAGTGCACAGAATTGAGTAACAACATGAAGGCTCCATTGGGTAATGGACTTTTTCCACTACTCTTTGTTTAGAGCTAAAAATGGTACTTTGCATGTAATAGCCAATAAATAAGTATTTAGCCATAATGAATAAATGAATGAACAAATGGCAGAAAGAGAGCAGAATAGTAGTTCTAGCAACTAATAGAAGAGACATCATAAAATATTATAGGAATTATTGTTAAATTAATGATAAAGGAGATAAGCAGTTAAGGAGTTCAAAAGATTACTATTGAAAGGATTAAAAATAAATTGTTTGTAAAGATGCCTAGCATGGTGTCTGACACTTAACTAAATTGTAACAATTGTTAGCTCCGGAAATCCAGTAATTGAATAAACCATTTCTTTTCCATTACATTGAGATGTATATTTATATGTAGATGGAAGTAGATATGATAATTTAGGTAACTAGAATGCAACAAGTTCTCATTATCATAGCAAATGAGCTGGCAGATGGGGATCACTTGCTTATGTAAGGTAATTTGTTTTATTTGTTTTTATTTTATAATTTCTTATTTGAAATGTGGACTGTAATTATCTTTTTTCAGCCAAGTTTTATTATTTTATTTTTCATTATTACTTAGCCAGTTGCTTGAGTTTATTCTTTTTCTTCAATGACTCATGTTTTAATTTAGTCAATAATGGACAGATTCCTCCCAAAGTTACTGTAGATTGCGGCTTCCTAAATGTTTCTCCCCTGTGAACAGAAATTGGTTTAGTTTTTAATCTGTGGTAGCCTTCTAAATCCTAAAATGGGTTGTCTTATATCAGTCTCTCTTCTGCTAATTCTGTTAAACATGTGCACTGAAATGGCACACTATGCAAATTGCCACTGGAAAATCATTTTGGAATGTAATATTATTTTTGAAAACATCTTCCTGTTGCATGGAATAGATGTTTGTGCCAATTTTTATATTAGTCATTACATTTTCATTTACTTCATTTATATCAGTCATCACACACATTTACTACTGCTTATAAGACACCTCCCTAGATTTGTTGGGACTAGAAAGGTCTAACTCATGTTCTTTAATCTCAAGGACCTTGTATTCTAATGGTAGAGATAAGATGTATAAACTTTGTTTGAAAAGATAACTGTGAAAAAGAATGTGTATATGGTAAATGGTAAATGAGTGGCAGCAAAAAGAAGTGCGTTGAGAGTTCAAGCAACAAAAGGATTAGAAAAGAGATCAATATATGGAGATTAATATATGGAAACTAATAATCAGCGAGGGCTTCAGAGAGGAAGTGGCATTTGAGTTGGGACTTAAAGGATGGATAGAGAAGATCATCAAGAATTTTTCATGTAGATATAGGAAGAGAGAGTGTTGCATGCAAACTAAGCAAAAAGGCAAGAATGCACAAGATGGGGGACGATGACTTCACTTTCAGTGAGTAGAATGGAAATTCATTGTGAGAAGTATTTAAAGATATCTGGGAAATTAGGTTGGAGACAAAAACTTACACAAGTTATTTAAATTTCCAGAAATAGACGGCATATTTATGAGCCCTCTATATCCATATAGAAATAATAACAATATTTATAAACAATTTACAGTTTACAAATCACTTTTACATCCAGTTTCTTATTTAATCTTTACAGCAACCCTGTGAGAAGCATTTTTATTACAATCACAGGCAATAGAAACTGAAGGTCAAGTAGTGGAAGGTTCCCCAATGTCACACAACTAGAAAGCACCAGAATACAGATGTGGATCCAGGGATAACCCGAAATCCCATGTTCACATCACCATTCCACCCTGCCTATCAGATGATGACTATTAATCATGACCACATGACTGAAACTGACATATATGTGAGGTGCTATTTCCTGTATAGTGTTAAAAATAAACTCATTTCTGGCTAGACAGTACTATTTGAGTGGATGACAGAAAGAGTACCCTTTGAGTAAAAGAAGTTAATATAAATTTTTGCATTGTTTTCCATAGAATAATGGCTTATTCATGATTCTACCATGTTTACCAGTAAACAGTCCACATATTAAATTTAACCTAAATTTCTTTGGGGATGTTATGGGTCACATTCTTTGTCATCATAACATTATAATTAAATAGCACTTTTAACTTTTTCCAGCTGATTTTACACTTTTTATACTGAATTATTCTAATGTATCTGTGCTGTAAATATACTAGGTGTTACTACCTATGTTTAACAGATGAAAGCAAACAGAATGATCTGCCCATTATCCTGCTCATACTGGTGATGGAGCTAGGGATCCTGACTCTCTGGTAGACTAACAGTTCACAATTGCAGCCTGTTTCCAAGGCTACTCAGCATATTTGACATTTGGTAGTACAATTTAGCACACGTCAGAAGATAAGGAAATAGCTATTGAGAATTTGGTATATTTTGATTCTTCCTGGAAACTTTCAGTTTCCAACTCTGAGCTCCAGGCCTTTTGTTCATTGTACTTGGTGCTATAAAATGAACCAATTAATATTCATCTGTTTTTACCTTATGCACCCATATACTGTGACACTTACCTTGGGTAATGATTGATGGCGGGAAGAAACTATCTTTCAGTTCCAAGATGAACTGAGTAGCAGAAAAATGGCTGTGACCCTGATGTTGGACATGCACCAACCTAGCTTTTAAATGCTAGGGTCAAGAAGGGGTTACCTTCCAAGGCAATGACACTGAAAAAAAAGACAGATTTCTCTTAATATATTACAGGGAGGTCTGAATTATGGCTTTCTTCTCTCCTCCCTCTGGCTGAATGTGAGGATTTCATTTGGCCTCTTGCAACTTCCAGAGGATTAAAGTGCAAATTGTATAGCCAAGGGACTCCTGTGTGGCCATATAAAGGAGTTAGTTAACCTTGACTAAAGTTGATTTAGCTACTGGGAATGGTAATGGGCAGGGATGTGGAAGACAGACGTCAGTTCACACTATTCTTTATCAAGTATCTTGCTACCTTTTCTAATATTTTAAATAATTTGCCCTTAATTTTTAAAGTAAAAGCCTAATACCTATTTATTGTTAGATATTGGTCATATAGCTTGCTTATCTCTCTGTTCCTTCAATATTTATATCGTTGTTGAGGATGTGATGGTATAATTTAAATTCAGCAATGCTCTGATTTACTGTACATCTGGGTTATAATAAACATATAAAAATCCCATCACATTGTATTTCTATTGCAATCTTTCAAAGAAGACCAGGATCCTATGACATTTGATTTTAGCTTATCAATGAACTTAGCTAGTTACAAACTACTCCTCAATAGACCAACAGGTCTTTAAATTGACATAAGATGTTATGTGTTTTGGTAAATACCACTGTTAATTAATGATGTAATAATTTATCTGTTTTTTTTTGTTTGCGAAGTACATTTGGACACATACACATGCTCCCCAACCTATATTTCCTTATAGATTTGTCAAGTGGAAGTAGAAGGGACATTACAATGTGTATTTGAAAGGCGTAGGATGATTTATTTTTTTCTCTCTCCATGCTGACTTTTAACTCAGGGTCCAGTCAGTCAGCCATAATTGATGCTTCTTGAACACACCATACATTTCACTTCTGCCAGCCAAGCACTTGCCAGATCTAGGCTCTTTTGAATTCGTAAAATGTTATCGTTAAAAGGCTTCTGGTAAAATTTGCCCTGTGTAAAGATATACATTAGAATGAGATTGTTACCAAATGGATCCAGGGCTAGCCATTGTAATTTTTTTTTCTTTTTTTTTTTTGAGACAGAGTCTCACTCTGTCACTCAGGCTGGAGTGTAGGGGTACTATCTCGGCTCACTGCAACCTCTGCTTCCCAGGTTCAAGTCATTCCAGTGCTTCAGCCTCACAAGCAGCTGAGATTACAGGCATGCGCCACCACGCCTGAATAATTTTTTGTATTTTTAGTAGAGATGGGGTTTTGTCATTTTGACCAGGCTGGTCTCAAAATCCTGGCCTCAAGTGATCTTCCTGCCTTGGCCTTTCAAACTGCTGAGATTACAGGAGTGAGCCAATACACTCAGCTATTTTAAATTTAATATAACTCTCAGATATACAAGCACAAAAGATATGAAACCACAATTTTAAACTGGGAAACAAAATATGTAAATGATATCATTTCCATCAGATAAAATGTTTAAATTTGAATAATTGGGGAGCAGTTTTTCTGCAATTACACACCTTTCCCAGAGAAAAATAATGTCAAGGCATTTCAGCCAGATCCTCTGTTAATGTCATCTTTGGCTGAGTAGGTTGGCACCCTGGGATGAAGGCTGCAGTCATGAGGTTACACAGGGACACAAAGCTGCCAAGCTCACAGGGCAGGGGAGCAGCTCAAATAAATTCTGCATATGAGAGTTAAAGGGCTGAGATGATGATGCTTCTGAATTAGGAGCAAAGTGAGAACCCTGTTGTGATTTTTGGTATTAACAGACAAAGATGGCATCTATTTTGTGTGATCTATTAGTGCCGTTAGAAGAATAAAATGAGATAACGTATCTAAAAAGCCTGAAAAGTGCAAAAGGATATATAAGGACACAGGGGACCTGGTTTGGCCTACATTAAACCAAGATCTTTGATTAGCTGAGAAGTTGACCACTGGGCAAGAGTCTGAGCTGCTATTACACTGATACAGGAGAGCTTGGTGAAAGGAATGATTTTATTTATTAAATCTGAAGAATCTGAAAGGTTTTGTAATGTAAGTTTGTGCTTGAACAATTTTTTTTAAAAAATAGCAATTAATTATGTTGCTTTGATATACGGAGATACAGCATTGGAAAGGAAAGGGAAGACTTTAGAATCTAACTGACACCTCTTACTTGGAACCTGATGTTTATAATGTGTTGAACAGTTTATTAAACTCTCTGAATCTGTAAAATGTAATCAATAATATTTCATAAATGGCATCTTTGTGAAGATTAAATGATTTAACATAATATATAGCACTTAGCATGTGTCTAGATGTAAGTATTAAGAAGAATACAATTATCTTTCCTACTTGAAATAATGTAGGTCAGGATCCTGGTCTGTTTTGTGCTGCTGTGACAAAATATTATAAACTGGGTAATTTATATGAACAGAAAATTATTTCTCACAGCTCTGGGGACTGGCACGTCCAAGATCAAGGTGCCGGCGTCTGGTGTCTGGTGATGGGCTTCTTGCCTCACTCAGTGGCAGTGGAAGGGCATGAATGTTATGTACTCAACATGGCAGAAGAGCAAAAAAGAGAGAAACCACTTCCAGAGGCCCGTTATAAAGAGGCACTAATTCCTTTATGAGAGTTCCACCTTCATAACCTAAATACCTCCCAGTATGCCCCACCTCCCAACACTGTTGCATTCGGGGTTAAGTTTCTAATGCATGAGTTTTGGAGACATATTAAAACCATAGCAGTCAGTGATACTCAAAGTCCATTACCTGAGCCCAGGTGCGGTGGCTTATGCCTGTAATCCCAGCACTTTGGGAGGCCGAGGTGACTGGATCATCTGAGGTCAGGAGTTCAAGACCACCCTGACCAATATGATGAAAACCTGTCTCTACTAAAAATACATAAATTAGTCAGGTGTGGTAACATGTGCCTGTAATCCCAGCTACTCAGGAGGCTGAGACAGGAGAATCACTTGAACCTGGGAGGCGGAGGTTGCAGTGAGCCAAGATTGTGCCATTGCACTCCAGCCTGGACAACAAGAGCAAAACTCTGTCTCAAAAAAAAAAAAAAAAAAAAAAAGTCCAGTACCTGAACTATCATTTCAAAGTCACCTAAACAGATGAAAGTGCAGATTCCTGAGGGCTGTTTCAGACCTTAAGGGTGTGGGTCCTGGGAATGTGGTTTTTCAATAAACATTCCATCCAATGCTTAAACTTACCAAAACTGACAGCCACTGGTTTAGATAGAGCCTTGCAGTAGAGACTAGTGTTTGCTACGCAGGGTTGTTAAGGGTTAAGGGTTAAGAGTGCAAGAGCTTAATTTTAAGCTGACTTGACCAGTAAGTACACAGAAGTTTCTATTTTATATTAATTCTGTTTGCTTGTTGTCATTATTCCAATGTTCAGAAGAGTCAGTAAATATTCTTTTCTATTATGGGGGCCACAGAGGTAAATTTTTTTAAGGTTTTACTGCACCTGGTTGTAATTTAACATGTTAGATACAGTTGCAAACAGAAAGGTAGTTAATAAGGTCTAAAGATGTGTTGAATTTGGCATATCAAAAAACTAGTTTAAAAGTTGAAAACCAAAGTAACTGTAGTCAAATAAAGATTTTCTCTTTCCTTGCCAAAAAAAGCAGAGAAGCAAACTTAAAGTTAGATGTTTATCAGCTCTGCCCTGTGTGCTCACTTACCAGCAAATAATTGATATACCTTTTTACTATATGTAAGCTAAATGTCGAGTTCATTTATTTTTGACACTTTTTAATGCTTATTCTTAACTTATTCAAAGATGGGAAAAGTATGTTTAGGCTAAAAAATGTCAATTTGACATTAACTTCAATGCCTGAACCTAGTCCAAAAGAACAAACTATTGAAATTATAGGGAGTATTAATGACATCTAATAGCTTGCTGAAAAATAGAGAAATCAAACCCAAGTACAAGGAAAGCAAGAATAATGTTTATAAGATCCTCTCTGTGCATAGAGGTGGGTATGTGTGTTGTTAGGGGTGCCTCACAAATGAAGAACAGGTGTATATTTATAGAAGTGGGAATTGAAATGTTCTCTGTAGTGATCTGGAGTTAATGCATTACCTGAGTAAGATGTGAGTTTTTAAATTTATTTTCTTTTGCAGCTTGCTGAAATATCAAGGCCCTTTGGCAGTTATCAGGAATACTTATTATCTGTTTAAGAGGTTCTTTCCTGGCGTGTGGTCGACAGTTGAATTACCTTCAGTGGTAATACAAGTCTGCAGCTCCTTTGAAAGCTCCCTGTTCACCCACAATGTAAAGTTGCAAGCGAACAATTTTATCTGCTCTCAACCTTTCTTTATATAGGAAAATCTTGTTTATTCATTGCACATGTTCTGGTGGATGCTTTCTAGTCAACAATTCAGATACCTCTAGATCTCTTTTCTCACTCATTGAGCAGTAATAGTAGAGTCTTACATGTATCAACTCAAAATATATCTTCTGGAATGCATTTCTGGGGAACTGGGCCAATAAAGGACCTTCATTCTAATTGAATTCTTGATAGCCTTGTGATCTTAGAGGAATGTTCTGATATGTCAAGTGTTGGCCTCCTTCTAAGAATGGTCAAGTAATTTAATATGAGCCAAAGTTCTAACATTTTAGACTTGAACCAATGAATAGTTCATTCCTTAAGCATAGAACAACAGTCCTCACTCAGTGGGCCAAAAGTCTGCCAGGATCAGTTCAAAACAACAGTCCCAGCCATGAGAAGCAGATTTCGGGTATTTTCAGATTCCTCTTGGTCTTCCTGATTTTATTCCTTCAGGTCATATCTCAGGTAACCAAATCCTTCTTGGTGCCTGTTATCCTGTGGGTACTTGTTAATGGCACCCTCTTTCTAAAGTGGTACCTTCTCTGAAGTGATTCAGTTTGGATGATAGGTTATATGGCCACCCTTGTCAAACTTCACAAGCTACTTCCTCTGAGAAGCCGTTTCTGATGCTCCAGAGTAGATTAGATCCTCCTGCTATAATGTCTCATAACACTGTGTATTTCTATTTCACTGTACTTATCATAATTGTTGGTAATTTTTGGTAACTGTACACTTAATATATTTTTCCTGCTAGAATGTAAACCCCATAAAGATAGAGTCAATGTATGGTTCCGGGTTTCATCTCAGTACCTAGCAAGCATATAACAGGTGTTCAATAAGTATTTGTTGAATAAATGTGTGCAAATATCACGTGCCATCCACCAATACCAAGCTCATTCCTCAACAAGTAAGCTCATGTGGTTGCCTGTGGTACGAGCTGATGCCATCTGTGAGGCATCAGTGCTGTGAGGAGGGGCCCATACTGACCTTGTCACCTCTGAGAGGCTCCCATAAAGGCTGGCTCTTGGAAAGCCATGAACAGAGGACAGTCCCTGTTAGAAATCAGCAGGCAATCAAATGTCTGCATAGAACCCTGTTCTCCTCAGTGAATGCCAATGGCCAAAGCACCAACAGGCTTGTTCCTGATCTGAGTGCCTGGATTGAGCTATGGCTGGAAGCTCACACAGTGGTCTTGATTCAGGCTTCTGTAGCCTAGGGTTTCTTCACTGTCACCCTGGATCCCTGCTCTGGCTCCTTACATGAGTAGTTTCAAGAAAAGAAAAAGTGGGAAAAGGATGCACAGCTAGAATGAGGAATGGAGAGAAGCAGACTAGATCCCACCGATACTTTACACCTTAGATTTGCTTTCTCCTCCTGTGTGAGGTCCTATTTCCCATCACACTTTATTGGGTTGTCTTAGGTAAGGGTACCCTGTTTTATGGGAAAATAAGTCTTCCCTCTGTGTAACTTAGGTACCCTGCCTGTTGTTGAGGACAACAATTCAAGGTCAAGAAACTTCTCTTAAACTGTGCAGCTTGCCTTTTACCAGGTACTTTAAGTCCTTTATCTTACTAACGAGGCTCTAGCAGTGAAAACTCAAGCCCTGTTCCCAGCAGCAACAACAAATCTTATTACATAGAAAGTTAATTGGCCAATAAGAAGAAATGCCAAGCTTTGCCACAGAGGTGATATAATTCCAATCAAATGCTGCTAAAATTGACAATTCAGTTAACCTGTGCATTCTCTTTAGTTACAGTTTCTATGATAATTTTATAAGTATTGAAAATAGTTCATGAACCACTAGTACTTGCTTATCCATTTATTTTTGAGTGCCTGAAGAACCTAGATCAGGAATCGTTACATGAGATAATTTCTAAATCTTTTTTCAACTCCATTGTTCTTTAACTTTCAGATTCATTTATATCAGTTCTAATCTTGAGTGTTGGCCAGCTTAGGAACTCGTAATTTTCTTAGGTTAGTCCTAAAACACTAATGAGTATTCTATTCCTACATATATCAAAGATTAGTAGGTTACTTCTATATAATACCTGAAATCTTTATAAGAAACAAAATGTTCAGTTAGCAATCCACATTTTTACAAATAGGAAATGTATTAATGATAGACAACTCTAACATTGTTGGTTGGAGATTATCCATCTGTAGCTAACGATTGAGATTTAAATGTAAACACTGTTAATATACTGTAGGAAAATCTGTAAGATCTTCTAGGATCTAAAGTCCAAATGATGGGATATTTTATCTCTAGGCTAAGAATGAAGACGGAAACATTTTTCAACTAGATAGGATATGCTCTTCCGTATGAGTACCCAGAGTTTGTTGCTGCTGGCTTCTTCTGGATCGATCACATTGTTCTAAATGAATGATGCTGTCAGAGTCCTGAAGAATGGCAAGGAGTTCTGCAGTCCAGTCTGGATATAATGAAAATGCCCTAGCAGCTTCCCAGGCTTCATCAGGGCAGCAGGATTAAATTTGAGCTCAAGTTTTGAAATGATAAAAAGCTGTTTGACTGAATTTTCAATATGTTTATCACAAAAAAGCTGAAAGTACAAGATAACGTCTGCCAGAAATTTGGAAGTTGAAATGGGTATCAGAACTGCCTGAAAGGAATCTACTGCAGCTGAACATAACTCACATTTCTACCGCCAAGAACCAGCACTGCACTTTTCTTCAGAATTATTTTTAACTAGCTTGGAAGTCATCCAGGTTTGACTCTCCCAAAAGCAATTTTGTAAATGTGCGAGGGGCTAACTGGGTTCTGATTCAAAAGACAAGTGCACCTGAATGTCTTTTGTACAGCTGTGAAAATCCACAGGATGGTCATCACTTATCATTCCACTGTGGAACAGCTTACTGGGAAATGCAATTTCTTCCAAAGGTGATGAAAGCCAGCAAGACATATCAAAGTTGGGCCAAGCAAATACATACACACCTATTTTCCTTTAGAAAATATTCAGACAATAAGGTGAATGAAAATGTATGACCAGAATCATTACAGACAGCTGCATATACCCAACAAAAATTACAGCTGCCACTTTAAACCCATCTAAACCATGTGTAAGTTCATTTGAAATTTACCATGAGATAAATGGGCTACTACCACCTCATGATTGTTCAAATTTTATGAAACAAGGAAAACTAGAAGGCTTTATGTTAAACAATGAAGGATAAATTGTCAAAATATGAAATGGGAAATGTTTCAGATGACCCTTGCCTTGTAGCAAAAAAAAAAAAAAAATCCAAATATGTCTTTTCATATGACTTATATTGGTTGCCTTCTGCTATCATATTGAAATTAAAAATGCACCGGTCATTGATAAGATTCCCATTTAACAATAACATTTTATAGATTTCTTATGAAATTGACATGTTTGGCTAAGTAGAGTCAAATATAACACTATCAGAGAGAACTGAAATATTTAATAGTGTTTTCAGCTTTTATAAACCACAGCTAGTGTCTACTTTATTGGCTGTGAAGATTTCTTGTAAAGCCAATGTTCATCTTGAATAAACTATTTAGAGGAGTCATTTACCAGTTGGAGAATTAGAGATTCTAATTCTAATTCTAATTCTCCAATTGCTATCAAGTTTCCCTTATCAATAAGCTCAGGTTATTTACTAAAGTAACAGTCTCCCTGCCATTAACAGAAGTATTTGCTAACCTGTTGTATAAAATATACTAGAATGTATCTCATGCGTGATGTGATTATTGTCTTAACCGTCTTCTCAAACTCAGAACAGGCAATGACTATATAACCCAGCAGGTATATGTATCAAAAAGTACCCTGGAGTTAGTAGACTGTTTTGTTGAGAGTTCACTTACATTACTTAAATAATGGAAATGCTTTTGAAGGATTGACAAAGATGTAAAGAAGGCAGTAACCATAGTTTTTGTAAAATAGCTACATGATTAAGAGCTCAAGAGAGAACAAGAACCTCATGATAGCAATGTCTAGTAGACACCAGAATGAAGTTTAGCACTTGGAAGCTTGACGGGGATCCATGGCAGAGTTTGTGAATCACTGTTCTACTAGTCTACTGCTGAGTAACTTTACTCAGTTTGCCTCTTTTCTCCATATGTGATTTTTGTGCTTTTCTTTGTACTACTTACTGACTCCTTTATCTCTAATTAGAATTTGTAGGAGAGCCTCTGATTGTTTTTGTTTATTACCACTATTCCTGTCTGTGCAGATCTTTTATGTGTGGTCGCACTATGGGCCATAGGCCAATCAACATAAGGGCAATTCCTGAATTAGGTGACAAGCATGGGCTCATCAGCGGTGTCTCTGGGGGCAGCAACAGCATTTCACTTGTGTGGATGGAAGTACTTAGAAGGAAATGTCAAAATGAGGTTGAAGCTGCAACTGATTTTCTGAGACTTCATTTATCTCCTTTATTTCCCACTGAATTATTCAAGAAAAACATTGTATGTGGGAGGTTGGAAATAATCCAACTGCATTGGTCAGGAGATTATCCAGTAATCTAAAATTATGAAAGTCAAGATATATCTTATTCATAGTGCCAGATCACTTCTTTGTGATTAGTTATAAAGCAGCATGTTACTCACATAATTGTGGAGCACTTACTGTATACCAGGCACTTGCTAAGTGCTTCCGTGGATTATCACATTTAACTTCTACCACAAAGCCCTCAAATACTTTGATAGGTTTAACATAATTATTGATACCATCAGTCTGATTCAGTTTTATCTATTGAAAGCAATAGAATCGTACCCATTTATTTGTTTAAATAAAATTGATAAAATATGGACCAATTGAATAAAGAATTGGAAGTTAAGCCCATTCGTATTATGATTCAAATAAACTTGTAAATACATTCATCTTTGTATGGTTTCCTCTTATACTGAGACACATTTGTCAAAATGTCAACTTATCAGCAAACTAGATAATTATTAATTCAGTTCTGAGTTACAGTAGATTTATGCTAGAAATCGGCAGTTCCTGGGGATGGGTGTGTGTGTGTGTGTGTGTGTGTGTGTTTGTGTTTCTGTGTATATATTGTAAACAAATGTTTTATTCGTAAGTTATTAAGCTGCATAACTTTAGGCAAGTAATTTTACTTCTTGAAAGATCAGTTTATTTATCAGTAAAATGACAATAATAATTCCTGCCTTATTTAACTCACAGGTTTTCGTGAGAAAAATATGAGGAAATTTATATTTAGAAACTATTGTAAATTGTAATATTATATATTATTAATATGCTACATTAATTGTGATAGAAGGGCCAATATTTTCTTATTTCTTTCATTGGTATTTATTTGTGCCAGGTTAGGTTTTGAAAAATTCTAATTAATCATAAGTAATGAGATCAAGGAAAGCAGTAAAATGAAAGAAATGAAACACAGAGCCCTAAAATATTAATATAAGACAAAAACATAAATTTACACATATAAATTATGCCAAAAATCCTGAAGACTAACAATGTTAAAAAAAAAAAGTGATATGACCTAATTTTCTCATATAACATTTTAAGATCTTTCTTAAAATGAAACCATTATTTATCAATTCAATTTTCAGATTTTTAGCTTCTAAATTAATGCTTTAGAAAAGTAACTCTCTTTTAAATATTTTTGCAAATATCCTGCAGCATATTGAAATAGTAATCTGTTCCATGTTCATTTTTTCTTTTATTTCTATTTTCTTAGGTAATGCAAACTTCCTACTCCCTTTGATTTAAGAATTGTAAGGAAACTTTGCCTAAAGATGAATAATATATATTTTTAAAAATTGTGCTTGACCCAATTGTGAACCAGCAAGAGGACAAGCTTGGAAACAATTTAAAAAAACTATATTTGGATTAGTATCAATCTTTTATAATCTTTCTTCTCTGTTGATATAAGAGGATGCATACTATTCTATCAGTAGAGAATAATAAAGATAATATTGGCCACCAGCTGTCTTCTAGAATCTGATCCAGTTTATATATTTCCATACCTAGAAAATTTCCTACTTATATATAATATAGCTGAGTGACCACTGAAATCCATTCAATCCACCAGAAGTGATGTAAGTTAAACTCAGAGCTGGCTCCCCTAGATATATTTTAATATATTTTGAATTGTGCTTTTATTTTATTTTATTCTACAGTAAACTTAAAATGCCCAGCTCTGGATATGAATCTTGCCTTTACCACGTAGAAACGATATGACTTTAGGCAAGTTTCTTATTCAGTCTGTTTCAATTTTCTAACCTGGAAAATGAGTTAGTATAATGAATCTCACAGGATTGTCTATAGGATTAATTAAGTGGGTAATCTATAATCCATGTTAAATTCTTAGCTCAAATTCTAACATACAATAAACATCAATTCATAGTTAACCGTTCCTCATTATTGCACAGCTCTGATCTGAATTAAGTTGCTATTAAATTACTGTAAGTAGTCTTTTATGTTGGGTCTATCCTTGATGCCCTTTATGGCACTCCATGGGTTTCTCTACTGAGGCAGGGCCTATTTGGGCAACCATTGATCACCAAAACATACTTTAAATGAACCTTTCTCAAATGGACTATAACATATGAACAAGCCTTGTAGAAGATGATGTTGACACATCTTTACCTTTCCTTCTTCTTAACCCTCCACCACCTTCTGAAATAAAACTTTTAAGCTAAGGTTGCTCCCTTCCCTTGAGTGCCATCTGGATATCTAGAAATACCTGGTGCAGAGGTCAGTCTGCATTTATCTGTTACTGCAATCATCAAAAAAGAGTTACCTGGATCTGTTAAACATATGCCATTTTCTTGGCAGGTACATTTTAGTCTTTCTCCCCTTTCCCTCATTCTGTCTCACTATTAGGAGTTTTTCTTGCTTTTTCTGGTGGTTTGCCCTCAGGTACAGATGTTCTTATAACTGTTTGTCCTTAGGAAGATCTAGCTTCTATCATTTTGCTTAGCAGCAAAATCTACCTTATTTACAATTAAATGAAATGAGCAATACTAACAGTAATAGAGTGCTTGAGCAAAACATTTGAGAATGTTGAGACTGTCACCAGTTTTTGTGTTTGTTTGTCTGTTCGTTAGGTGTTACTTTTCTCTCACTGGAGATTTAACTTCTGTCTCTTGTTTATATCCTATTATAAAGGGGGAAGCAGAACAAAACAAAAAGGGCATCCTGATAGGGGAATTCAGTTAGATATAATGGAGAATCCTGGGGGAAAAAAAACTTGTCTGTTACTGTTTTTAAAATCAGAGAAATAATTATAACAGTGACAATGAATAAATATTACTTTTTACATTATATGTTGCAATAAAAAGACTGTCCAGACAAAAAAGCAAAACATATTCGATACAGTGTTTTAATTTAGTGAATTTATCTGAGGAGTTATCTAAAATAACAAATAATCATACAATGTAAGTACAGCAATGTATGATTTCTTTGGCTAAGAGAAGTTTAAAAAAATCAAGAAAAGTATGAAATACTGTTGTTTTTAATTCTTCAGTCTGAGATGTGGCGGCCAAGGCATTATAAATTCAAAAAAATGCTATGAATACATTTATGTGCATACAGAAAATTTTCTCTGTTCTTCTTTGAGTTATATTGAGAAGATGAACTATGTAGCTTTGTGAAGCTTGGAAAAGAGAACTGAGCTATTTGTCATTCTTTCAGATATGCTTTCTCTTCTGTGTTTTACATATGCTGAATACAAATGAGGTTTTGTTTTGTTTTTTTTTTTCATTACAACATTTTTAAAAACAAATGGTCTTTTGCAACGTTTTTCCCCATAGTATGGTTCATGAAAATGGCCTGTAGGATGCTCATCTATGTTATCTGGAAAAGGAGTTCAATGTGAAAATATGTTTAGAAAACTCTGGTTTAAACAAAGTTATATCCACTTCTCTGAGCTTTGTACATAATAATGGACACGGTGAATTTCTAAGAATATCTAATAATCCTACTTACCTGACCATGTAATGCTTTTATTTTTTCCTTCGAATACCTGTAGGTCTTATTTCCTATGAAACAATCTTTTTGGAAACCCAATTAAAGGAGTCTTACATTATAATGATTATTTTCAGTCATTAGTTTGTAAAGATACAGAAGTTATTACCAATGATTATTCTAAATTGAATATTTATCAAATATACGAAAAAGCAACAATGGACAAGCACTGAGATCCTATGAGGGACTGGTTACAAATTATTCTTATAGTAAAAAACTAACTGTGACTGGGAAGTCACATAAAAGGGATTATGCCATTATAATTATCCTGATAGAAGAGAGAAAAGAGTAGATGATAAATTATAACAGAGGGAAAACAATAGCAGAAAATGTCTCCCATCCTTAAAGGGCTTACAACTTACTGGAGGTATCCAAGCATTGAAGAGGAATGGGAGTTACCATGTGATGCAAATACTGAATGAGTAGAAGATTAAATGAATTCTAAGATCCTTTCAGTCCCTTGTGATGGGGATTTATATGCAGGACGCTGACAGAGAATAATAAATGATGGTAGGTAATCATGTGCTAACAGAGGTAATAAGGTATGATAGAAATAGAATACCATTCAGAAAAATGCAAGACTCTCAAGTGTCAGTATATATGTAGGCAAAAGGTTTAATTTTCCTGAGCCTTGATGCTTTAATCTGTCAAATGGCCGTAAGACTTGCTAGCCTTCTGTGAAAAGAATTGTCTGTAAAGTATGTTACCAAAAGTGTGAGATAAAATACAGTAATAATAATACTGTTTGTATATGCCAAAAGCAACTCTGGAAGAGTCAATATAATAATAATAATGACAATAGTTGTTTTAGACGGGTTTGTGGGAGTGCAGGTAACTGGACAGATAAGAGACAGAGATGATGAGATTGAAACTTTTCTCTGTATATTTTTATGCTTTAAAAAATTAGATAGTAGAAATATTATCTGTTCAAAAATGTAATAGACAAGGTGTGATAAATAACTTTGGAACATTTTATCAGTGGAAGGAAAGGCCTACTTTAATGTAGTTATTTTTTAATTTCAAAGAGCAGGGTGTCTAACTAGAACTAAATTTTATTTCTGTCTATGATGTAGTGGAAGAAGCACCCTTCGGACAATTTAAGAGATTTTAAAAATCTTGATCCCTGGCCGGGCGCAGTTGCTCACGCCTGTAATCCCAGCACTTTCGGAGGCCGAGGCGGGCAGATCACGAGGTCAGGAGACTGAGACCATCCTGGCTAACACGGTGAAACCCCGTCTCTACTAAAAATACAAAAATTAGCCGGGCGTCTCAAAAAAAAAAAAAAATCTTGATCCCAGCTCTTTGGAAATCTATTGGTCTAGGTATCAAATAAAAAACTTATCCTCACATTTTTCTCTAAAGAGAATGAGCAAATCAATAAATATGGTCAATCTTTATTTCTTAACTCCAAGATATGCCCTACAAAAGTGACATGCAGTGGGAACAAAATAGGGTATTTTATTAGAGCCTAGTTAATAGTCTATGCTATAGAAAGATTCCAAGGACTTGTTACCTTGGTGCTATTATTACTAATACAATAAGGTCACAGCAACTTTGAGTTTAATATCATCAAATAGATGGTTTAAATTTTGGATGCCTAGGAAACATGTGATCTTTTATCTTATTTTTAAAATTTCACCTACATTTTTTTTCTCCTGTGTTTTGGCCCTGCCATTTACACCATATCTTGTCCAGAAAAATTGCCATTGGCCCAGCAAAGGATACAGTCAAGTTGATACAGATGTCATAGAAATTAAATGGAAGAGTTGTGCTCCATCACTTTGACAACTAAATTACATGGAACTCAGCTGTAGGTCAGGTGCTGGTTACTTTTCCAAATGGAGCTTGTGGTGGAGCAATCTCATTTGACACTACTAACAGTTTAGATGACTTTAGATTTGGATATCCATTTGGATTCACTTTTAAATTAACTGCTCAAAAATTTTAAGAATAAAGTGTCATACGGAAACCTTGCAAAGAGTCCTTTATCAAAGGACAAACATATATTCAGAACAACTAAAGGAACAATTTTTTTTAAAGACTATTAGTTCTTCTACTTATCTTTTAATTATGCAAACATACCTACTGTGTGCATAATTTGTAAGTTAAAGAAGGCAGCAGGGTGAGTGGACAGAGTGCAGTACTTGGAGCTTAGAGGAAGTTGGTGGTTTTGTGTGTCTGCTGCAAGGGCTATTGGAATTGAACATGCCATGAGTGCTTTATTACTTTCCTATGGTTGCTGTAAAAATAGCCAACAATGGCTTATAACAGACTACATTTATTATTTCACACTTCTGTAGGTCAGAAGTCTGAGTATCATGTGTCTAGGGTAGGTCCTCTGCTTGGGCCAAAGGCAAGGTGTTGGCAGGGCCATGTTCCTTTCTGGAAGTTCTGAGGCTAAGTCTGCTTCAAGCCATTCGGGTTTTTTGACTAAATTCACTCCCTTCTGGTTGTGGGCCTAAGGTCCAGTTTCCTTGTTGGCTGTCAGCAGGGGGCCTGGATTTTGGTTGGAGGCTGCCCTCATTCCATTTCATGCTTTCCAGGTGCCCCTTCCTCTGTCTTCAAGCAGTGGGAAGTGAAGTCCCTCTCATGCTTCAGATGTCTCTGACTTCCCCTTCTGCCACTTCTCTCCTGCTCCAAACAAAGCTCCTGCTTTGAAGAACTCATGCAATGAGTTGATCCACTCAGATAATCCTGGATCATTCCTCTGTTTCTAGATCTATAACATTAATTACGTCTTAAGGACATATTCACAGGATCTGGAAATTAGGATTTGGACTTCTTTGCTGGTGGTGGTGAGGATTCTGTCTACCTTGGGTGGTGAATCCCAAAAGTTATAAGGTGTGAATATTGCCAGAATATTAATTTTTGGGTGGATAGCTAACCAATGCTTTTGTTTCCATTTAATCTTTATCATCCCATACTAGGTTTTAAGAGAAAAGAGTTTGTTGGAGGCTAGATCCTGCTATCATTTTGTGTTTCCTGCATGGTACATACAGGCTGCACCATGACTGTCTGACAGTCTCTGTCTTTAGAGAGGTTTCTGCCTTTAGAGAGATTTACAGGCACTTTGAGAAGATAATTAACAATACTATTGTCAATTGGTAGTATAGGTTCTTAATGCTCTAAAGGTATATATAGAGAGAACTTTTTGTGGTAGAGCTATGAGTCAAATTTCATGGAAAAGACTACTTTGGACAGCTTTAAAGTGTACTTCAAACATGGAGAAATGAGAAAGAGAGAAACAGACAGACATTTCATAAACAATGAATAGCAAAAGCATGGATATCAGGAAAGAGAAAACCTTCTTTGAGGGCAATTTTAACTGGAGAAGAAAGTTCTACTGGATGTTTTCTAGGGAATAATGGAGACTAGTTGATGAGATTCTGTTTCAGTGGTTTTCACATTTTTGGATTCAAGATCCCTTTTTACTTTTTAAATGTATTGAAAACCTCTGAGAAGTTTATGTTTGTTGTATAGGTTATGTATATGTATTAGTGTTTACTCTATTGAGAATTGACTGAGAAAACATTTATATATTTATTAATTCATTTTAAAATAGCCACCACATTGCATGTTGCATGTTAAAATAAATTGTGTACTTTTATGAAAAATAATTATATTCCAACACTAAGATAATTTTGTGAGAAGAGTGACTTATTTTACATTATTGACAATCTCTTTGATGTTTGGCTTAAGAGAGCTAGATTCTCACAACTACTTCTGCAGGCAATCTTTTGTGATAGCATATATCCTTTGGCCTCTAGACAGCACCGTTGTATATTTGTGAGATGATGAAAAAGATTTTGGCCCTTGGCCCTCCCGAAAGTCTCAGGGACTACCAAATGTCCTTGGACAACATTTGAGGACTTCTGTCTTATACTGTCAACGAATATCTACTGAGCACCTACTAAGTGCCAGCACTGCTGTACGGGTGGGAAGTACAGGACAAACAAGACCATGACCCTGCCCGCACAATGTTTACTTTCTCATGAGAGAAGGAGGATTCTAAAGTGAAACAACTAAGATGATTTCAGATAATGATAGGTGTTATGAAGAAAATTAGACTGGTATTAGGATGAACTGTAGTGTAGATGGGGTTGTGTTGTTATTTAGAGCCAGATTAACGAAATTGGCTCAAGGCAGTGACTTTAAGTGAGAGTAGCAGGAAGTGCAGCCGTGTGAAGAGCTATGGAGAGCTGTCTACTTTGGGGGAACAGCTGGTACAAAGCACCAAGGTAAATTGAAGAGTTAAAGGAACAAAAGTGCCAACCTGGAGGCAGAGAAAAGAAAGAAAATGAAACAAAGATGTGGGCAGAACCTATTTTATTTGAGGCCTTGTAGACCATGGCAACCCAGGATTTGAATTATATTCTAAATATTATTTGAGGATTTGAAGAAAAGAATGATGTAATCTAATTCACATCTTCAAAACATCACCATAGTTGAGAAGTGAAGCATGGGCTACAGAAGAGCAAGGAAGGGAGAGAGGAGACCTTTCAGGGGAGTGTCGCGTTAGGTTCGGATGAAACCACAGAGGAAGTAACAGGCAGTCATTACGTTCAAGATGAAGGTACAACTGACAAAACCAATACATTAATTTTCCTTTCAGTCTGATTAAAATCCATTTCTCTATCTGACCATTTCTCTAACTTGTCAAGTTTCACTTTGAAAGATGCTCCAGTATTTCAAGGTCTTAACACTCTTTCCAACTTTTGTCACACACAAATTTAATGAGCATCCTCTCTCTTAGACATCATTGTAGCATATTAATCATATACTGTCCTAACTTACCTTATCAGCTTGTGACAATGAGTCTTTTCTAAAAAAACTTTTCCTGTATATTCAAAATGAAGACTAATGAAGTTTATTTATACAAGCTAAAAATATAACACTCAGAATTACGTGTGCAAAATATTCCCTGTAAAGTATATTTTATTTCTCTTTTTCACTTCCCATCTGCCCCTTCCAAATACATCTTTGTCTTCTGGTTGTTGAGAGGTTGCAGGGTATTCATATTGTCTTATTGCTGGTACAGTAGGACGTTTGTGTATGACCCAGCTTTGTTTGTTAAGGTGCTTGAAGTAAGTAATATGCTCTCAATGAGACAAAAGCAACAATTTGGAAACAAAAGTGGAAATTAACAATGCCACTGGTTTCTGTTTAAAGAATTTATGTATCAGGCTTTCATTGTGAATAAACTCAGTAAGCAGCTACTCAAATGATGTGATTACATGGTCTAGGAATATACTCTTGGTCTCCAAAATGACTTCTCTATGACTCCTGGTAGTATATGAAACTTAGTAATTAACACTTTCTACCATTTAAATCAAATAAATATGTTTATCTCTGTGAAAATTCAGGTATTCTTAAGAGAGCCTCACTGATCCTCACCCGAAAATTCATGCTTTGGTTTTAATGGGTGTGCTTGCTGGTTTCTCTACAGAGAGCTGCTTTGACAGTTGCAAGATAAAAGAAGAAATAGTTGCTCAGAACCACAAAGAAAATAAATAGACATTGGAAGAAGAGGCATAAACAGTTTTCTCCGCCTGCTTCACCCCATTGCCTTGGCTTTTCTTGTCTTTCTTCTACCTTATCACGACCTTCTTTAGCAAACTATGATTTAGCTTAGAGGAGAAGCATGTTTAAAGAGTTGTAAGACAGGTTTTCTTTTCTAACTCTCCATCAGAATATTACTTACTTCTGAGACTGTTTTTCTTATTTATAAGAAAGGAGATTTATAACACTGTCAGCTATCTGTGTGAAGAATTATGTACATTTCAAATTCTCATTTTTTCATATGTATAGAACATTTTATGGTCTTCAGTTCTGTGATATACGTGTGTGTGTGTGTGTATATAGCATATGTGTATACATACACACACACACACACACACACACACACACACACACACGTATATGTACTGTCTTTTAAAATTTCCATAGTCGACTGGGTGTGGTGGCTCTTGCCTGTAATCCTAGCACTTTCGGAGGCTGAGGCGGATGGATCACCTGAGGTCAGGAGTTCAAGACCAGCCTGCCCAACATGGTGAAACCCCATCTCTGCTAAAAATACAAAAATTAGCCAAGCATGGTGGTGGGCGCCTGTAATCCCAGCTGCTTGGGAGGCTGAGACAGAAGAATCGCTTGAAGCTGGAGGGCAGAGGTTGCAGTGAGCCAAGATTGTGCCACTGCACTCCAGCCTGAGTGAAAGAGCGAAGCTCCATCTCAAAAAAAAAAAAAAAAAAATCAGAGTCACTCTGGTTAGGCTTATTTCCCTAATCCTTTGGAATATTAGTAAAACTGAGGCTCAAAAAACTAATGCACAAAGTCATATGGATAAAAAGCGATATCTAACCATTTATCTTCAACTCTTCCTACTATAGCACGTCGACATTTATTACCGTGTTCTAGATAAAAGCCTTCTTAGAACTATTAACATATTTCACATATTTTAATCTCTCAAATTTTGTTTCTCGTTTTGTACAATAATTTGTGCTCCTAGAGGAAAGCAAAGACTTAGTCTAATCTCTTTGTCAAATGGAAATAGACTAATGTTACTTACTATGAATAAGAGACTATATCTCTGTCCCTAGCAAGATGTCTCTGGCTAAGGGATTACCCATAGTTAATAGAACCCAGGATCTATGAGGCAGGGCTACCTGGAGCATATGACATAAGGTACACCACTTTATGTTATATGATGCACCTTATCTGAACTTGATAGCTTATATCCTTGAAATTATTTAGCAAAGCTTGATGCTGGGCAAGATCTTTAATTCATGTGAGTCTGATTTGACAATCTAATCCTCACATTTGTCGGTAAATAATACAATTAAAATATTCTGAAGGAATCTCAAGTACAAATACCAAAGATAAGATGCCTTCCCCCCACCGCCACCCCCTTACCCAGGTTGAAATGTTACTGATAAAATATGTTGGTAAATAGTCTCCCTACTGCACTGGTGAAATCAAAGCCACCCTTAAGCAGTGAAGATGGCTAATTTAATTTCAGTAGTTATAAATCAAAATTAAGCCTAGGAAACTGGACCCATAAATGGCTGCAGAGAATCCAGCTGTGTTTATTCTAAAGGCACTCCCAGATCAATTTGCATGGAGGTGATTTGGCTATGAGATAAGGGAACTGTCTTTCAGCCCCATCAGTTAGAACAGTCACCAGGATCTAAAGTACCCAATCAAGAGAATACCCCGCAATTAATTTTTTATAAGCCAAGGAAAGACTATTGCTAAAATGTAGAATAAAGCCTTTATTTTGTAATGATTACTTTTGTTCCAGAGAGCATTTTCTGGATTAAATATGAATATTGGGGATAAAAGGATTAACCGATTTTACCTCAAATTCAGTAAGATAAAGAATGTAACCTCCACCTACTCATAATCAAATCAATTGATTTGTTCTTTGGTAGAATTGGTTTGATTTTCTTTTCCCTACCTTGAATTTAACCAAAGGATATGATGCTTCTTCGATTCTGACTTTGTAGAGATGAACAGAGATAAATCAGTTTTCTTGAGTGTTCAACCTTGAATGGACAATCCTCAGACTTAGAAATAATTATTTCAACTAACAAATATAGAAGGTTATGGAGACACAAAGAGGGACAGATTCCAAGGAGTTTTATTATTTACATCAAATGTTTTTTATAGTATACAGCTTAGAAGTTGACTGATTTATGGTTTAATTCCAACTATTATATATTCACCCATACATTAAGAGGGAAACCGATGCAAAAAGATAAAATAACATGCCCAAACAGACAGAATATGTAAATGTAAGAGACAGTGCTAGAACCTACCTTTTCCCCTCAAATTTCTGGAATCTTTTCTTTCTAGTCTAATCCATTAATTTACAAAGTTTAATTATATTCAAGTAACAATTCATACGTTTCTATTTGGTACCCATTATTTTAAAATGCCATTAAACATCACTTGCTAAATCATACACACGTTAGTCCCTAAACCTCAAAATAAAATGCTATGGGCTGGACGTGGTAGCTCACACTTATAATCCCAGTGCTTTGGCAGGCCAAGGCAAGAGAATCCCTTGAGGCCGGGAGTTTGAGACCATCCTGGACAGCATAGGAAGACCCTATTTCTACAAAAAATAAAAACAATTAGCCGACCATGGTAGTGGATACCTATAGTTCCAGATACTCAGGAGGCTGAGGTAAAAGGGGGACATGATGCCAGGAGTTTCAGGCTGCAATAAGCTACGGTTGCACCACTGCACTTCAGCCTGGACAACAGAGTGAGATTCTGCCTCTAAAATAAACTTCAAAATTAATTAATTAATTAAATGCTATGAAGTATACTTTAGGTTGCAGACATATCTGCAATTTTGAAAATATACCAACTTTCTGAAGTTGAGTTAGTAATATAGATATTAGGTCCTAGTTACCATCTCTTTATTTTCCCTTCATATTTTCCTTTGCAGTTAGTGGTTGCAAGCTGCATTTTAATGCAGAAATATCAGAGTTCATTGATTCAACGTATTTATTTCAGTAGTGCAGTTGTGCCATTTTTGCATTTGTGGTCTCACATTTTGTTCCTTGCCAGTTTATTTGACCTTTGCACGCAATTGTAGGCAGGAGGAAGTCCAAAAGTCCCTAGGTATAGTGGACCAAAGGACCACAGTTATATTCTAAAAAAACACCTCCAAGAAGTCAGGAGGCAGCTATGGCAAGTTGTTTAACATCCGACTCTTACTGTCAAGTGGAGCTGGCCTTTACCACACCAGTCTCCAATCTTGGCACCTCAGTCTACCTCCTATAGTTATTCGGTTAGCATTTAGTATTTAGCATATTGGCATTAAGCACTCTGTTTCTGTTAATTACTCTACCAAAATCTGCCCACAGGATCTATATTTTTCCTTTTGTATTCTCTCCTTTGGATTTTTGCCTTTTAAATCTACTTTCTCCTTGTGATACGAAAAACCTTGGCCTATCAGAAACTATTCAAGTGTCAGCATTCAGCAGCAAAATGGGTTTAGGGGACTGGGGTAGGGCTTACAGTAAGTTTCTCGACTTTGCATCCAGTAGGTATTTTTCTAGTCCACCCATCAATAACATTGACACAGTAACTGATAATTTAGCTCTTCTCATTTACAAACTTCACTTAAAGTGTTGTGTCTTCCCACATTGCTCTTTTTAAATTAAATATACACTCATAGATTGTCACAGATTGGGATGCAGGACCAATAGTCACAAAATGAACATTTTGACTGATAGATGAAGAAACAATGATTGATGGGGTGCTTTCCTGTTGTACTAACATGAAAAAGCTGACAAGAACAGATCAGAGGGGGTGTGAATACTTGTTTAAGTGCAGTACCCACAGAGTGAATCATACTACCCAAGGGGAAAAAGAGAAAATGAAAAAAAAGCCCTCCCCAATTTTTAATCTTAGGTCATTATTGCTGGCAAATCTAACGAGATTACAAAAATAGCTTTTTGTTGATGGATCATAAAATAGGGATAAAGTTGTGGTAGATGATTGATTTTGATTCTCTGTGTTATATCATATTTGAATGTGGCTTTCACACTCTGATTAGAATTTTAAACATGTCTGGGAATTAAAAAGAAATAGAAGTTATGAAAAAAAAATCTCCACAGAGTAGCTTCTTAAGCAGACTGAAATGTTTTGACCTTGAAAAGATAAATCCAGAACAATCTAAAAACAAGCACATAATATTACTGCTAACATACAACACATAGCATGTTAGTGTGTTATCACAAAGTAACAATAAAATAGAAACCACTAGAAAATAAAAAAGGAATGATGCTCAAAACAGGATGACATAATGATGCAATCTCTAATCATATTCAAAGGCATTTTATTCCATTTATGAAATAGAGCCTGCTTTTCTTATAGAGGATTATTCAGATAATATTTACCAAGGCATTTTTTTTTCTGTAAAATTTCTTTGTTAACTAGGCTTACTTGGAAAATAAAAGAAGGAGGGGAAATTAGCAAGGATTAGATAGAATCGGATCTTTGTTTATAACCTCAAGTCAATTCATTTGCCATTTTTTTGTTTTCACACACAGACGTATCTCCCCAAGACAGCCTGAATCAGTGCAGGATATAAACTAAAGGATTTTCAGATGAATATAACTACCATGGAGTTGGCTTTAATGTATATACGTATAAGCTAAATTGTGTATATTTGAAAGGACTTCACAGATGAGTCTTAGTATTCATCTTAGAATAGGGAATGGGAGCTGTTGGGCTACAGTTTTAGTTCAGAGAGAGAAAGTGAATGAGAGATTTTCTATGGAAGCATCCCCGAGTCAGCCCTCGGGGTTGTTATGGCCACAAGAAGACTGACTAACTAAAGAGATCTGGTGATATGTGGCGAGGGCAAGAGTCCTAAAAGGAACGGATGGTTGCCCAGTGCTCCCTTTTGTTTTCTTGGTTCAATCTGCCGATTCTATATAATGCAGCATTGTTCTGCACTGCAAAAGCAGCAACTCTGATCGTAAAACAATAGAAAAGCATTACAAATCTTTGCAATGGCATTTCAGAATAAAGCTGCTCATGTGTATTGTTTCCACAGATGAAAATAAGACCATTTTATCCTTCCTAAAAAAATAAGCATTTGAAGAGTTTTAAAAATTTCTTTAACTTCAATGTTTAAAAAATCTCATTTATTTGAATTGCTATCAAAATGTCTTATGAGATACCAGGTCAGTCTGAACCTGTTATCGCAGAGAGTTAAGCCTAAAAACACTATTCTGAGATCATACATTTCCACTTAACGGTTTTTCAAGTACTATACAGTATGCAAGCCCAGTTCTATGTTCCTGAGATTTTCTTTCCCCATGTCAGATACCTCCTTTATTTTTCTGTTTACTTTTAAGCTAAGAAATTTTACTTCTAATCATCACTTAGGGTATAAAATCAACGATGCATAACTCTCTTCACGTCTTTGAAAACTCTGTATATAATTTGCCTATAAAGAAATTATGGTCATTTGAGATTCACGTCATGCCTCCATCTAAAATTCAGTCATTAACTTTTGGAGTATTACAAGAAAATGTCTTTAGAAAAAAATGTCACTACAAGGTAGGGAGGTTTTGTGAAACAACATCCTAAATTTAACACTCAGCTTAATCATCATTTAATCTGTTGTACCCGATGAGGGGGCAGATATTTCACATGGATAATACTGAGAGCACAGTGGGTCAGTGATTCTCATGGTTAAAGGAAAAGAACCGGGAGGGGAGTGGTTTATTTAATATCTGTGTGTGTTTGGAGAAGAGAAAATCAAGAGAAGTACTTAACATATTTTATCTTCTTTGGCTTGTGTCATTTATACCAAATAAATTATCATTTTGAATCCCGGAGTTTGATCAGGTCTGTGCTACAAGATGACACTTAGGATAAGAGTGCTTCAGTACAGATATGTACTATATGCCTACACAAATATATGTTCTCAAAGCCACTTATTAGAGACACATTGCAGTTCACTTCAATTACACTTATTCTCAAACCCATGGATGCATGTGACATCTCTGAGTAAAGAGCCAGAGAAATCCAGAGACTTGCAAATGTTTTTCTATTCCCACCAACCAAATCTCATGTGCAAGGCTGTGATGGCTTCATGATATGATGGATTAGAGAATTCGACATTTTGTTGCCTCTGGATGGTTTTCATTCTGTACATAAAGAGGACTATCACAATTTCAAAGGTCTGCGTGCTGAATCATTCATAGTATGGGCCATCAAATCCATATTTATGAATGTCTGGAATATTCTATTTTATAACACTATGCTTTTCATCATATTTTGCATTTCAGGTTATGTACATATTATTGGCCAGCCTACCAGCAAATTTTACAGGTTGGAAAGTTGGGTTTGAATTAAAATTTGATGTGAAAATGAAATGTTGACATCACGGCATTCTGTTTAGAGTTGTTATTCAAAATACAAGCTAAGGCAGGCGGATCACCTGATGTCAAGAGGTCTAGACCAGCCTTGCTAACATGATGAAACTTTCTCTCTACTAAAAATACAAAAATTAGCCAAGCATAGTGGCGGGCACCTGTAATCCCACCTACTCCCAGGGCTGAGGTAAGAGAATTGCTTGAGCCCCAGAGGCAGAGGTTGCAGTGAGCCGAGATCGCACCATTGCACTGCAGCCTGGGTGACAAGAGCGAGACTCCGTCTCAAACACACACACACACACACACACACACACACACACACACACACACACAAATAAGCAAAAAAAAACAAGCTGATGGGAAGCCTCAAATGGGCTTATAAAGTTGGAAGTTGTTAGCTTTTGTTTTCTCATTTCAAAATAACTCCTTTTTTAGACAAAGCAGTGTATGACAGTCTTAAATATAATTTGTTTCCTACATTGGACTATCTTCTAGACACTTTTGGAGAACACAGAGATGGAAAGAACTCCCTCTTTTGCTACCTAAAGCTTATTGAGTGATCATGTGGTACAACACATGACAGTGCAAGACCAAGCAACCATGCTAAACTTAGATTAAAAATATAGACCAAAGACTTCTATCTGGGAAATCCAGATAGCTTCAAAGAGAATGTAACTTTGAGCTGGGTCTTTTTATACAGAGAATTTAAAGGATGGAGTCCAGTTATGTATATAGACATGGCATTTAGAGTAAAATTGTCTTGGTGTATGCAAGTGATTACCTATATTGATTTGTAGTGGTGATAATTGAAATCTTTGAGGGTGATGGAATTATAAAACTGGTTTTGTTTTGATTGTTGAAATCTTTGAGGGCGATGGAATTCTAAAACTGGTTTTCTTTTCAAGCCTGTAATTTTAGTTTGGCTTCCAACATTTCTGAAAGAAGAGATAAAATAAGGACCACAGGACTGTACAGTTTTCTTGTGTCTCTCCAGTGATATTTTGTTTCAATTTGTTTTTTTAATATAACAAACTTACATATATTAAATTTAATTGAATCTTGATTTAAAAGGTTTTGAGGTGGATCTCAATGCATATCCTAAAATAGAATAAATTGATTCCCCTGACTCATGCTCCCAGAACTTAGATCCAATTGCAGAAAACCCTACTATTAGTAGTAAAGGGGTATGTATATTTATTTTTATAAGTCTCCAGATTGGAAAAAGAATCCACTTAAATGTGTTCGGAGGAAGCAAGCATAGCTTAGTGTGATGCAACAAAAAACCTGAAAGACAACACCTTGTTAGAAAGCACCAAACTAAGTGATTAGCAGCCGCAAGCCCATGGCACTTTCTGGTGGCCCTGAAGATTTTGGACTGATGGTATAATCAGTATTCTTCTACTGGATTTCAGACTAATTTTACTCTTTAGAGTGTTTGGAAGATGGAGGCCCTTGCTGTACAGCATGTAAGTTGGCTTTAAACAAAAACAACAACAAAAAATGCCCATTGTCATACTGAAAAGAAAGTCCCTGAGAAGATAACGGATGCTATCTCCTATTGCTTTCATCTTTGTTAGAACATGAGAAATCCTTACTGATTGCAGCAAAAACCTGGCTGTAACTGGATTCTGTGGCTACAGGGGCAGGCAAAACAAATCAATTTCTTCTACCCACCCAGTCCTGCACCACTCTGTTTTAGAGAGGTGAAATTCTTTTAAAATGAGCACTGAGAGAAGCACTGAGAGAGGACATAAAAAGAGTGAGTATGCAATAATAAGGTATATAAGGAGGGCTCTGTAGGGAGGGTTCTATTTGTTGCTAGGCCATGAAGATTAAGTCATTCGAATAAAAGCAAGTGAATACATGAGCCTATGTTTTAACAACAGGTGGTGGTGATGTATTGATATGGGGAGGCCCAGGATGCCACAAGCACTTGGGGACCCCATAGACTATCCTCAGGGACAGCATTAGTCTCAGGAAAAGAAACGTTGGGTTAGGGTTCTGATTTGTGCATTGTCCAGAAAGAGATGGAAGTGAAGTGGGTAGATTAATACATGGGAAAAACAGTGACTTCTGGACTTTTCCCTTCCCAGATTACCTCTATCTCACCTAGCCAACATTCTACTATAAAGGAGAAGGTAAAATTCTGAGAGATTCTAACAGGAATCCATACATTTTACCTATTAGTGCTAAATTTTCGTTCTTTCAGGCAATGCCCTCCATCTCGATATGAAGAAGAGGATATCTGGTGATCAGAGAGAAGAGTTTGATCTCCACAGTTGCCTAAAGCCTCACATGAGTGTCCTTGAGTGTTTCCCTACCAGATTCCTCTGCTTCCAAAGGGAAAACTTAGCTTCTCTTGCCCGTGTTTGTCAAAACTGCCTTGGTCTCCTGCAGAGAAATACTTTGAAACTGAATGGGGACATATTCTACAAATTCTCACAACAACCTCAACCCTAACGCGGTTGCCCAATCTAAAATTAAATTTAAAAAGCCTCTGCATATTCAAAATAGTTTTCACAAAAACTGCACATTAAAGTCATGCATTTTATTTCTTAGTGCCCACTCTGAGTCTTACTGACTTTTATTCAGCATGTCATTCTTAATAAACTTGGTTATCTGGTTTCCCAGCCCACGACAGATTAGAAACAGCAAAGGGGAAGCTGAGAAGAGACACAGTGACAGCCAAAGTGACAGCTGAAAGCCTGACGTTGAGGGAGGAGAGAAAAAAATGATAAAGCATGCATAGAAATATATAACCACATGGTACAGTAATGAATGCTCACAGAGATGACCCCTGAATCATCAGGAGAAAAAAAAGATAGTATTATGTTTAGAAGTATCTATGTAGGAAGACAGGAATGTAGCAGTTAATATATTTTATGAAGATTTCTATCTAATATTTAGGTTTAAATGGGCATAAGCTTCAGGTACAGAGAAAATTCAGTTATCCAGAATTGCTCCTTCCCAGGAAATGCCTAGGTAAATGAGGTATTACTAATCCCATCTTTAAATACCCTACTGACTTTTTCCTATAATTTGGTTGTAAATAGTGTCAATATTCACTGGTTTGCAGATATTACCTTGTTATCAGAGGAAACAAACCAAAAGCAATTCTAATAAAAGATGTGTTCTCTTTCAATTTGACGCTAAGCACTTTGAGTCCTAAGTTGAGGCAATTGATAAGTCAGCAAAGGAATACCTAATTATGGAAGTATAAAGAGTTTTGCATCTTCCTCCCAACATAAACTTTAGAGAATTGAAGCTTAAACACAGGGTTTCATTTTTACCAAATTCAACAAAATAGCTACTGGCACTCTGAGGACATTAATTCCCATTTACATGCATAATACAAAAGATGCCTTGACCTAATCAACCCATCACCGTGCATTTCCATGCATCTAGAGAGAAAGTCTTTGCTTCATTGACTTGGCAACAGTCTCTACCCGTTACCTTTAACGCTATTGTACTTTCCCTGGAGATAGACTCGAGATGTGGTGGATACAGCAGAATCAAGGTTCTTTCTAAGAAATTGTATTTGAAAGCAGGGTTTTGTTGGATGTCAATTTTTACTTGTAGTTTTAATGTGGTCTTATGTAGCATTTTATAGATTGTTTTCTTTAAATTGCTTCCATTTATTAAAGAAGACAAGCAGTAGTGTTTTTGCAGATGGGCAGAAGGCCTGAAACAAGAAAGGTGATTTTCTCCTAAGAGAGGCTGACATGGTCTTGTATCTAGTGACATAGTTCCCTTTCAACTGTCTAAAATATTATTATTTCCCTCCAAAGTAGCCCCTTTTAGAAAGACTCAGGAGTGTGAGAGGAATTTGCTGCAATTTCTGGTTGCAACGTCAACTGTTTTTTATGAGAAACTGGAAATCTAAGTTTTTGTTTGAAACCTAACGTGTAAATGTGGATAATAACTTCATTTTTAAAAATGTACTATGTTTGCCAAATAAAACACTCTGCCATCCAGTTTCTAAAAGCCAACTTAAATATATTAAAAAAAAGAAAACTCTAGTTTTTTGTTTGTTTGTTTCTTTGTTTGTTTTTTGCTAGAAGGCTACTTGGAAAGTTATGAGGGTTCAGCTTTAAACCTGGAGAAATGTATTTCTAGTTGTGGCACCATAGACAGCAGAAAGAGAATCAGTTCAGGAGGGAGAGGAAGTAAGTAGCTCCAAGCCCCTGAAATTATACTTTAGAGAAAGCCTGTCTAGTTTCAAGATTACCTTTAGAAGCAAGATCTATATTTTTGATGCGGTTAAACTTGAGTGTAGGAAAAAAAGTAAACTACAACAAGTATGCAGGCTCTGATGATATTGGAAACAGGGACATTAAAACCAGTTTGCTATGATTTTCCAGGTGCAAATGAGACATTGGGGTTTGATGATGCAAAGATGATGCATCACCTTTTAGGTTCAAAATAAGAACATGGTACAAGTTATTCAGTTAGTATTTTCAATACGATACTGACAGGATGAAACAAAATTAGACAAATTAATTGTAAAATGGATTTGAGGAGAGAAGAGACTAGAGACTGCTGAAGTTATTTGTGCCTGAACTTAAGGGATCCTATACTCATTGGAGGATATTGAGAAGAGAGGTAAAGGGATAGAAATTATAGATTCCAAAGAAAAAAGTGATGAATCCAAATGAAAATAAAGACTGGAAAGAAACAGATGACTCGTTTTCAAGCCTTAGCAATGGAGATAATGGTGATGTCAATAAACTAGTTTGTGGGAGAAAAAATAGTTGTAATTTGGGTCTTACATTTGAAAAGGGTGGGATATCCAGATGATATGGCAGTAAGGTCAGATCAGGAAACTAGTGACATGCAAAACTACTGAATATTCCTGAGTGTGTTGGCTTTAAATCCACCTAGTGATATGCTTAATTTTTAGAGAGACTGTAGAAGGCTAAGGGCTAGATCTTGCTATGTGATGGCAATTACAGAGCAAAAGAAAAACAGGCGGATCAAAGAGAACAACCAAAATAGCATCTTAGAAGTTAGGATGAAAGAAAGTTAATTGAAATAATAATAAAAATAATAATTTTGTTTAAGTGAGATGTGTAGTTTTAGTATATAAACTGGCTCATGCCTCTTTAGGAGAGAAACAAGCCAAAATTGAATTTATAATAATGTTTGGAAAGTCATATTATGAAAAACAACTGAATATTCCATTTGACTACTTTTATTTCTTAATGATGTAGCTATCATCTAGATCTCCAAGTTCAAATTCTCTGGTTCATGTTCTGTTCACTTTTGTTAACAAGGACAGGATGATATTCCCAGTACTCTTCAAGTATTAGTAATATGTAAGCAAAGAAACTTACAATTTTATGAAAACTAAACATGTCAATTTAGCTTTATCTAAAATAAAGTATAGGAAACTTGAAAGGGAAAGTAAGATTTCAGGGTTTTACCTTAACAATCTAAACTGGGGACCTTGGCAAAGACTATCTCTTTATGTTTGTCATAATCTACAATTGACGGGTATTAAATAATCCATGCAGTTGCTTAGCGATTATCAGTATGTGTCAATTTATGGCCACCTTCGAGGCAGAAAGAGTTAGTTGAGGAACAACTTACCTGCAGTAAGACAGATACCACCACCCATTATTACATATTTCTTCATTCAATTTTTCTCAAATTTTATTTTTTAAATTTATTGTATTTTCCATTTTTTGAGACAGGATCTTGCTCTGTCACCCAGGCTGCAGTGTAGTGACACCATCACAGCTTACTGCAGTTTTGACCTCCTGGACTCAAGAGATCTTCCCACCTTAGCCTCCTAGTAGCTGGGACTACAGGCATACACCACCATGCCCGGCTATTTTTGTATTTTTTTGTAGTGACGGGGTTTCAACTTGTTGTCCAGGCTTGTCTGGAACTCCTAGACTCAAGCAATCCACCTGCCTCTGACTTGGCCTCCCAAACTTCTGGGATTACAGGCATGAGCCACCTGGCTCTAAGATGTTAATAATGTAATTTTACAGAATTCTTTATCATTCATATGAAATCTGAAATTACAATTATAAATAATAAAGTTAGCCATCAGTGTTAATCTAGTTTAGTAATTAGTATACTGTATTGTAGTTTGGTGATATTTGCAGTGGTAGGAGTAGTCGGTAACCTATCTTAACTAAAAGAACAGAAAATTGCCAAAGATGAAATGCATAGATGGATGGATGGGTATGTATACTAACTATCTCATACCATTAGGGAAGATGTATTTACAGAAGTGAGCATTCCATATAACTAATGCCTTCTGTTTTATGCAAGAAAACTTTTCTTGCTCCTTTTACCATTTTGAAAATAATACACACATCGTACCTTGTTAAATTGAACTTGCTAACGTGAGTTAACTTCTTTTTGATAACCCAAAGCCATCATTGTGAACATCAGTCACTGTACTGTGCTGTAATACAGTCAGTCCTTTGGGGCAGCTGAAGTATGTAAAGCTGTTTGCCCTCACACTAAACTACTGTACTTTCTAAGTTCCTAGATCTACCATTTATAACATATATATATATATATATATTTTTTTTTTTTTTTTGAGACGGAGTCTTGCTCTGTCACCCAGGCTGGAGTGCAGTGGCTTGATCTTGGTTCACTGCACAGTCTGCCTCCCGGGTTCACACCATTATCCTGTCTCAGCCTCCTGAGTAGCTAGGACTACAGGAGCCCGCCACTGTGCCCGGCTAATTTTTTGTATTTTTAGTAGAGACGGGGTTTGACCGTGTTAGCCAGGATGGTCTCGATCTCCTGACCTCGTGATCCGCCCACCTCGGCCTCCCAAAGTGCTGGAATTACAGGCTTAAGCCACTGCGCCTGGCCTGTAACTAATATTTTAAATCCTTCTCCCTTATTAAGAGAGCAATTGCTTCTTGTCATCATCACTGTGTCTTCATATAGGAGCCACTTCCATGCGAGAGCAACAGTTTGCCTCTGATCCTCTGTGGTTCGTCATGCCAAATAGCAGAAAATTAAAATACCGTCAGCAATAAAACTAACAGATTACAAAGTAGATTACTTTGTAATATATTAGTAGTCTGCTCTGGGAAGTTAGGATTGCAGGATAGAGACCTTCAAGATAAGTATGGTCTGTGTCCACAGCAGCTCAGTGTTGCTTCCTCTATATATTTTCACTCACTGTACTTTGTAGGCCCTCAATGGTTGATTAATGAACAAGTATATGTGTAGTTACAGAATATTTGTGTATAGACCTATATGCATATATAGGTATAGATGTATGTGTAAAACTTGCATACAAATGTGTTATGTGCAAGGCTGTATTGAGATAATTCCCCCCATGTCTCATAATTAATACAGCTATTGAGTCCACTAAAGAATGTATATATAAGCTATATCTTTAAAATTTTTCCTATGTTACTGAGATCACTTTGGTTTCCCTCCTAGACTTTAGAATGTGACACGTACTGTTGCACTCTGTCTTGCTAGGCCCTTGGAAATATCAGCTACTAAAAATTGCAATCTGTATCAGCCCATTAGAGTATGATGGTTTTATCTTCTGATAATGAGGACAATATTGCATGTCACCATTACTCGCTTTGTTTTTACCCTTTCTGCTTCTGAACTGACCCCAAGCTATAACATCGCTAAATATAGTTAAAAATATTACCCTACCTTTCGTGCTCATATGTGTGTCAACCAAGTCACGATGCTCCTAGTAGATTTTCCTTTCCCTTATTTAATGTTGATAAGCCAAGGAAATTTAGCACCATAATTTTGAGACTATTACCAGATTCTGTGTTCAAAGCCTATTCTTACCTCTTTTAAAAAAGTAAGAAGACATGGGATAGTAAACTCAAACAAGACCAATTGAGAGATGGCTTGGTTATGTAAATGGGCTAAGGTTTATGAAGATTTTCTTGGAAAGAAAATATGATTCTTTTTAAGTAAAGAGATGCTACTTGCTCATCATCTTCCGTCTGGGTAATTTGCTGGGGCATCTACATAGTCTCACCCAGTTTGCAAGGAGGAATGAGTTTTAGGACATAGAAGATGAAAATTAATTAATCCAGGTGTGAATTCTAATCTATGCTCTTTGTAGTAGGCACTAACTTACAAATTAATGGGCCTTGTCTTTAATGGCCAACAGCTGCCATTTATTGGCTGTCACCCTGTGCCAGGCACATTTATGTTTTCTGTACCATCTCATTTGAGCCTCAGAATCCTTGATAGGTGGATTTTGTTATCAGTTTCTGTTTTATAGATGAGACAGCATGAGGCTTAGAAAGATAAGTGCCATGCCAAAGATCATAGAACTAATAAATATCAGAACACAATTTTAATTACTATGCTGATTTCCAGCCATGAGGTAACTATCACTGTATCTAATAAGTCAAATTTGTATAAACATTATTGATTTAACATCAAACCACTTGCTTTGATTAGTTATAAAAATGGCATGGCTGCCCAGTATATTTATTAGTATCAAATAGTTCAACAAAGCAAAGCTTCTATTTCCTTTCTTCCTCAAGCTTTTTGTGGGTTACTAGACCTTGGGGGAAGAGTTGAAAGTAATTAATAAATAGTCCTAGAATATTACTTCAGATTAATATTTACTAATGTGGGTTGATACATGCATTCTCATTAGTATTTACTAAAATACTAATTACAAGCCCTTTTATATGGCCTGGGACTCCAGGATGTTCTTTAATGCCCACATGTGACTTTATATTTCAGTCCCTTTTGCTCCTGTCCTCCAAGACAGAATGGGCTACTCAGCTCATGCCTGGTCTGACTCCCAAAATAGAAGCATAAGACACAGATTGCAAATTATTTTGTTTATTTGAAGATTTAGATCAAATGGTTTTTTCTTAAAAGAGATCAAGATCATTCAATTTCCAGTTGGTCTAGTCTTCTGAGCAAATAATCTGTGCTTCTTAAACATTGGAAAGACTGATAAAGTGAGAACAACACAGTTTTTGCACATTTTTCCCTGTTGATGTTGTTGGTTTAATTCACCTAAGGTGGGGCCAATAGTGTACAGATCCAACATTAGAGTCTGTGCATTATCTGCCCCACCTTAAGTGAATAGGGTATCTATCCTGAGAGACCAACTTCTCTGTTTTTTAATGTCTTGGCTGTTGGTAGATGAATAAGTTCCTTGAGGTTACAGTAGGCAGTGATGCAAAGATATATTTTGATTCACTTTATGTGAAGACACAGAATTTTTTTTTTACTAAGTTAACTATTATTATTGTAGTGTTAGAAAATTAAGTGCTATGAAGTCTACTAACCTCCTGCATCTTAAGGCAGGTCTCAATGCTTGCCTGGGAGATAAATGAGAGTGTCATTTTACTGTAAATGCTGCTCAGTGATTTGAGAATTGAATAGCATAACCTTGAATCCAAACAGATTATCCTTTTTTTCCACTGCATGCTTAGCTTTTTTTTTTTTCACTTGAACTTAGCTTTACTTAAAGTTATCCAAAGAAGGAAATTCGTTTACTTGTGGCAAACCATTGTGATATCTGCTCATTTCTATCCTATATTAAAACAATTTCTATCTCACAAAGGCTGTGTAATATTCTTGGTTACATTATAAAGGTTATCAATCTAAAAAATTTGTCATCTTCCAGGTGTTTGGGGAGATATTTGAAAGGATCCAGTTGATTGACATTTTTTTTATTCATATGTTTGACTTTGTATCAACATTATAACAATGTTGCTCTTTAACTGTATTTTACCTATATCTATAGTCCATTTTCTTGACTTCTTAAGAAAAGCAAAAGCTTGCTTGCTATTTTAAAATCTTTTTTCTTTTTTAATTTTAAAGCTAAGTCACATAAGAACTCATCCTTCATAGGTCTCTGTAGGATGCTTGAGAGTGGCTTGGGTAATAAATTCGATTCAAAGAAAAATCAAAATAAATTCAGAAGAAACAGTGTTATTTTTTACTTAGGTTAATTCATACAGGCATCAGATATATTATAATTATATATTCAGTGAGTGATCTGTATATTTAAAAAAAGTAATAGATGTAATGTTGTTTTTCCTAAATTCAATTTTTGAGACAGGGTCTTTGCTCTGTTGCCCAGGCTAGAGTGCAGAGGTGCAATCACAGCTCACTGCAGGCTCAACCTCCTAGGCTCAAACAATCCTCCCACCTTAGCACATCCCCCCACCCCAACCCCCACCAAGCTAGGACTACAGGCGCACACCACTATGCCCAGCTAATTTTTGTATTTTTGTAGAGACGAGGTTTTGCCATGTTTCCCAGGCTGGTCTGGAACTCCTGGGCTCAAGTGATCTGCCCATCTTGGCCTCCCAAAGTGCTGGGATTACAGGTGTGAGCCACTGCACCTGGCCTCTACTGAATTCTTGAGGTGATGTTTAGAGGTAGCATAGCATATAGGACAGGATATTAAACCTTTAAGAATCCAAGTCATGGTTCTAACAGTAACCATGTCATTCAGGGCAAATTACTTATACTTTGTAAAGTGCATTTTCTTCATATACATTTTCTTTATTAATAGAATAAAGATAATTTTATTTACTTTTATATTTTTGTGAGGTTTTTGTAAGTCCAGTAAGGGAATTTATTTTGCAGGGTCTTACTGTCATCAATGATCCATGTCAATAGTGAGTAATCACAGATCATCTCTCATTGATTTTAATATGTGGTGTGTGAGCTTTACTCTAGTGTGTTTGGAAAGTTTGTAATTTTTGGAAGCAATGAAACCACACTAAAATCTTGATTCTGGGAGAGCTAAAACATTTTCAGATATTTTTCTTTGCCTATGCTCTCTTCCTTGCTCCTTGCTAAAGACAGACAACATTACTTCTTGGTGTTCTTCTTTGATTCTGAGTAGCCTGTTTGTCTGCTGGCTTGATTGTGCCCATCAAAATAAGGGAGGACCTCAGCCTTTGTCCCATACTCCAAGAATCCTTCCAGAGGGATGTCTCCCCATGCTCAAAACCTATCCCATCACCTGGAGTCCCTACTTGGTATCTATCTCATTGTTTAGTATCTACCCCATTACTAATCTTCTCCTTGGGAATCTACTTTTCCACATACTCTTCTGACAGTAACATCTTCTTCTTCCAAGAAGAAAATCTCAATGTAGCCCGATCCATGTTAAGCATGTGCCTGTACATGCCCCAAGAGCTACCAATCTGTGGTCTCTAGAGTGGCACTGCACCTTGTAACAAGTAGACAATTCCTTCCTTCCCAACTCTGACCGTACATCTGTCCCTAGAATTTCTAATGCTTCACTGTGCAGTCCATAGTCTCATAAATTCCCTTTTGAGTCATTCTAAGCTCTATCTCTTTAGGGTCTAAAACCAGTAAAATATAACTTATGGGTTCTAATTTGCTCTGCTCAATCATCTTGCTCTACTCCCCCACCTCTTGCCTGGCTTTCTCTCTCCTCTCCCATTTATCATCCTCATCTCATACATATACAGTCCAGTCTGGCACTGAGCTGGGAGAATGGAAGAGGAGAGAATATTATCTGCACTAGCAACGAACAGTCAAAAATATCTCAGTTTGGCGACATGATCATATGTGATTGAAAAGATCTGGAGAAGGAGGCTGTAAAGGGTTAATGAGTCATTAAAGGTCCAAATGTCAACGGTGCCGAGAAATTGAAAATGAGGTTTTTCCAATGCTGGTCAGTGATACAGATGGCTGAAGGCAGACTTGTAAGAGTTGATTCTAGTTGAAACATGTAAAATGAATATACACGTACTCAGAAAGGAGTTATCTTAATATAACTTTTGTACTTTCCATTATAGCTGCACTGCATTTTTACAAAGTTGTCATTTGGAATAATAGGATTCTTTCTAAAGATAGTCAATAACAAACCATGGGATTAATCTAAATTCTGTAAAGGGGAAGTTTTTTGCATGTGAAATAAAATTTAAATTGTAATACAGCCTTGTGTATTCGTGTTATATTAATCTAAACAATGCTTGATCATAATGTGTTGGTGAACTTGCCCCACAAATCTGTCTTACCAAACAAAACACCAGATGCAGTGCTTAGTTTAGAATGGTGACTTGATAAAATCAGACGCATTGGGCAGAAAAGAAAGTGGAATGTTCTAAATAAATGTCACTAACTATTGGGAGGATGGAAGAAAATTATTCTTGTAATATCTCAGACCCTTACCCAATTGATATTTTTTAAAAAATATATTTTGAATGCTAAGATGATAGAATTTTTTTAATGAAGGAAAATTTAATATTTAGAAATATGATTTCTAGAATACATGTTTCTATTTGTCATACTTTAAAATAATTTCTGAGATGTCGTTTAAAAGTAGGTGGTGATTTGTACTGCAGGAAGCACTAATATGCCTCTTGTGGTTCTCTCCACATGCACGAAGAAGTAGGAATGGGTTTGGAAATGGAGGGGTGGGAAACCTGCTTTTCCAAATACTGACCTGAGAAAGGGAATATCCATTTACAATTTTGTTTTATATCTGGACTTCTTTAATGAAAATTGTCATGGCCTACATACTAGGGTTTAACACAAAACAATTGTCTTTTATATGTGCTTAGAGAATACATTCCCAGAAGTCCAGTCTAGTCTCTCAGCCAGTTGAGGTAAAAAAAAAATCAATTAATTCAATGAAAGGTCCACAAACCAACTGAATTAACTAAATTGATTAGCTGTGTAACTGAATTAGGCCAGTAAATTTAGTCAAAATGGTAGGCTTTTTAAACTGAGTGCTAACAAAAATATCCCTCTAGTTGGCAAAAGAGATTGAAATACAGTAGAGTTTCTTAGACAGTGTCAAGAAATAGGAAAGCCAACTTAAGAAATTTGTATCCTCACGTTAAAATACCACTGACTTATCCCAGAGTCTTTCAATAGCCTGCACACAGACATGCCAAAGTTAAATTCTGGAAGAGAATATCAATTATGTTGGCCATTGAAAACTCATTAAAATCTGACCAGAGACTCTTCACAGAGCTAGAACAAAAAACACTTTGGGAATGTCCCAAATTGGCTGCTCTCCGTGTTTTTCTTTGCCTATAATTTACTATTTCTAAAGGCAGAGATTTTTAACAATAATGTTTCAAAAGAGTAAAGACTGAAGGATATGCACAAGCTGTCATGCCCCTTTGTGGCTTATATAGTTCATACTTACTTGGCAGCAAAGAAGGAGTAGGATGAGAACAATGGTAGATCTACCCTCTGCCCTGTTATCTGTGAATGCCCATATACTTTATATCTCACTGTTCTCAAAAACAAACCTTTATTTTATTCACACTTACCACCTTCATGGCCTTGAGCACCTGCCATCAAATGATTAATCAATGTTTTATGTGTAATTTTAAAATAAATGAATGAATGCTGAATGAATGAATGAATTGTAACAGAGACTTAAAATAGCTTATTTTCTCTTTACTTCAGAAAGCTTATCTGGCTTTTCAAGCCTCAACAAAGAGCTCAGGACCAATTGACCTTTCCTTTCTTTGGAACTCTTTAGTGCTTATATATATTCTGATGATTTGGTTCTTGATTTTTATAATAATAATACCAATTACTGTTATCATTAGAGCTAACATTTACTGAATGGTTAGCATATGCATGGTGCTGCCTGAAGCAGTTTGTATGTATTATCGTTTTATATTTTCATAACAACTAGTTAAGTGGACACAAATATTACATTGTACAGACAAGAAAATTGAGCCTCCAAGAGAATAAGTAGTCATCCCAATTTCACATAGCTAGTATGGAGGAGAAATGAAAATCAATCCCAGACATTCTACGCTAAAACCTATCCTCTTAACCACTAATCTGTCTTCTAATCTATCTAACCTTCTTCTTCGGGACTTGTGTTAGTCTGTTTGCATTGCTATAAAGGAATACCTAAGGGTGGGTTATTTATAAATAAAAGAGGTTTATTTTGCTCGTGGTTCTATAGGTTATACAAGCATGGTGCCAGCATCTGCTTCTAGTGAGGCCTCAGGAAGCTTACAATCATGACAGAAGGTGAATGAGGAGTCAGCATGTCACATGGTGAGAGAGGGAGCAAGAGAGAGAAGGGTGAGGTCCCAGACTCTTTTAAAAAACAAGATATCCTGTAAAATCATTAGCTCTGGGAGGGCACCAAGTTATTCGTGAAGGATCCACCCCCATGACCCAAACACCTACCACTAGGCCCACCTACAACTTTGGAGGTTACGTTTGAACATGAGTTCAACTTTTACATGAGTCAAATTGCAACAGGACTTGACTCTGATTTTTTTATTATTAATGAATATTTTGTCTTTTTGACTGGATCTTAAGCTGCTTAATTCACTCTTTATTCTCATTCTTGATCCTTTATCTTGCTCTTGATGGAGCTAACCACACTGCAGATAACTAGAACATATTGATTTGTTAATTATGGATATTCTTAGCTGATACTCTCCATCTTTATTATTGCTCTTGTGACAGTTCATAAAATTCAGATTCCTCAAAGAATAGCATGCCCCTGTTTAACAGCTTAAAATACATTTATGCCATGTTAACAGTAAACTGGAGTAACGGTAATGACAAGATGATTCATGGTTTAATTGAATTTCTGAGATGATATATATTGTTTGTTTACATTGCATTGGAATAGCTTGATTTAACATATTTCACTGTTGTCCCAAAAGGAATCTTCTAGTTTATCATCACTCCACTGGCCAAATGCAAATGCTTCTTTCTTCCTAATTGTGCTGCTTATTTATACAGCAAGCCAAGTCTAGTTGATTTCCTGATACAGCATGAATTTAAACTATGCTTTCCAAGCAGTTGTAGTCTAACACAATGAATTAAGTCATTCTCGAAATCTGTCTATGTTTCTATTATTGACTAGCAGCCCAAAATACTTGAGGAGCACGTTAGACGCAAGCAGTATCGCCAATTAATTTAAAATCTATTGATTCACAAATAGCATTTATAGTCTGTAGAATTTCTGGGCTTCTTAGTCTCTTCTGTCTTGCTGTAAGTCAATACCTGAGACTGGGTAATTTATAAAGTAAAGAGATTTATTTGGCTCACACTTCAGCAGGCTGTACAGGAAGCATGATGCCAGCATCTGCTTGGCTTCTGGTGAGGCCTCAGAAAGGTTTTTCTCATGGCAGAAGGCAGGGGGAGCCAGTGTGCCACATGGTGAGAGCAGGAGCGAGAGGGAAGAGGTGTCGGGCTCTTTTTAAGCCACAGAGAACAACACCAAGCCATTTCTGAGGGATCATCTGCCCTCATGACCCAAGCACCTCCCACTAGGCCCCATCTCCTACATTGAGGGGTCACATTTCAAGGTGAGATTTGGAGGGGACACACATCCAAACCATATCACTGGGCTATTTTCATTTAGTTCTTCCATAGCTAGTCTATTTTCATTTCAAATTAAATGTATTTAAAATTAAACTTATTATCTTTGCTCCAAAACATATTCTTCTTCCTTTATTTTCACCCTGTGTTGACTACACCATTATTCACCCAAGCTAAAAACCTGGGAGTCATTTTCAACTTTTACCACTGTCTCATCTCCATGTGTAAGTGATCACAAAGTTCTGCCCTTTCTACTCCCAAACACTCTCAGGTGTCACCCGTCTTCTCTATGTCACTACTACTGTTTTAGACATACCATTTTCCACCTGAACTATCGCAGTAGCCTCTCAACTCACCTCTCTGTTTCCTATTTGCTTCCTTTCTATTTTCCATACTTAATACTGTAAGCTTCCAATGAGATTATGCTATTCCTGTCTAAAAATCACTCCCAGGTCTCCACGGCCTAAGAATGAATGGAGAGAAGGCCTCCTTGATTTGGTTTCTGCCTGCCTGAGTCATTGGTTGTGCTTTCCTCTACTGTCCGTGCTCCACTTCTGTTCCATGCTTCTGATGTCCAGACTACTTGGAGTTTTTGTTTGTTAGTTTGTTTTTAACTTATGTTTCTTATGCCCTTATTTAGGCTCTGTTATCTAACGAGAATGACTTTTCTTTCATTCTAACTTTACCCTTCCAGGCAATATCACCAAGAGTTCCATACTCTTCTGTAAATGCCATGATACCTTGTAAACACTTTTCCTAAGGCTGTTATTACACATTATTTTAATGAGTTACTTTCCTTTTTTTTATTATACTTTAAGTTCTGGGGTACATGTGCAGAATGTGCAGGTTTGTTACATAGGTATACACGTGCCATGGTGGTTTGCTGCACCCATCAACCAGTTACCTACATTAGGTATTTCTCATTATGCTATGCCTCCCCCAGCACCCCACCCCCTGACAGGCGGGTGATGAGTTTGATGAGAATGATGGTTTCCAGCTTCATCCGTGTCCCTGCAAAGGACATGAAGTCATCCTTTTTTATGGCTGCATAGTATTCCATGGTGTAGTTGGAAGCTTTTGAAGATGGTAGTCTATGTCTTACATGTCATTGTTTTCCTACTAAGTAAAATAGACCCTGATAAATAAAAAGTGTTTAATCAGTGCTGAATGGCTAGATAGATGGATGAATTAGTGAATGGGTCCTTTTTTTCATATGCTAGTATATTCCCAACAAATTACTTTTTCTGTCTGTTTGCTGGTTACATAATTTCCTGCAAAATAAAACAAAATAAAGCAACCACCCTGAAGCATCCTAATAATCTTGCACACCCAGCCATGATTCCTACACTGCTAAATGTAAACATCTTTTATGAGCAGTACTGAAGATTACCTTTCTCTTGTATTCTGCATAGAATGGGGGAATCATTGGGTTTTTACATTTGTTTCTACCTGAAAGGAAAAAATTAAGCAATTTAAATACTGTACTGTAGGCATTGCTGTAAATTATAACTTTAATGACTCTGGCTTCATATTATTTTCATTCAAATACATATATAATTTAGCAAATAAGCACTTTTTGCTAGTATTGGTAGAAAAAATAATTAGATCTAAACATGTCTTTTTAAATAGTATCAAAGGCATCATAATTTCTCACATAATAAATTGTAATTAAAATTGTGCTAGATAATTTTTGGGCTAAAATAGAAATACATTTTTACACATATATCCTTAGAGATAAATAAGCAAATCTGAGAGCTGGCATCTTCTCTAAACTACTTTTAGTTTTAATTATTGCCACCGTCTTCATTTTCTCCACTCCTTTCAAATATCACATTGCCCACTGTTATTGTCTGCTTTGTAATATATGCAGATATGTTCAGGTTAAATAAATACCAGTTAAGTAAACAGTTTATTTTCCAGTTTAGTAAGCTAGAACAAAATGATGGTTGAATAACATTAGATGTGATCTCAATATAGTGTTTTGCAAATGTAAAGATATGTTTGAATTATAAATGCATAGTGGTGCACACAAAAGCATGTTTGATTTAATAACTAATGTTTCATAAGAGATCTCCCATTGCAGGGACCTCATGGAAAAGTTTCACTGAATGTTGCCATTTAAAATATATTTAATAAATTTCAAAATAATCAGTTTTCTTTAAGTATCATAAAATGTGTATAATATTTTATCTATAACAGAGCTGGGAAATTCAACTGAACATCATTTTGTCTTCATTTAGCCTCTTTTTTTTAAACCTTGCTAAGCAAAATATTGATACTCACATTTTACTCATAAGAAAACTGAAATGGGGGTGGAGGACCATAACATCAGAGTGGATGATTGTAACACTATTTCCAGCCTTGTTGTTCTAAGACCTCTATAAAGAATTCTGTGCTTCCCTAGGGATTTAACCACAACTTAAAATTGCAAATCAAGCTCATCAAGCATGTGTTACCTCTTGACCACATAAATTTTATGACCAAGGCAAGTTTTCTCTGTAGAATAAAGCATAGCCACATTTGAATGAAATCATGGTTTTAGACTAACTTTAGCAATTACACTCCACTTTAAAAAACAAACAAAAACAATTCACAAGAAATTTTCCCTGGACTAACTGTGATTTGTGGCTTTTTTTTTTTAACATTGGTATAGCTGAAAGCTGATGATACATAATGAAGAAGCCAGTAAGAAAATTTTGAATTGCTGTGTAAAAAATCAAATTATTTAAGTTCCTATGAAATGCTGTAAATAGTCAACAGAGATTAATGGTATTATAGCAAATTATGGTTACATATTTTCAGAATCAATTTAGCAATCGTTAAATATTATGGGTCACCATAAATTTGTTCTCATTGATTTTTACATGTAGTTTTTACATTAGGTTAGGTACCAAGTTGAATATTTAAAAAGTTTATTTAAAAGTTGAAAACTAATAAAGATCAAATAAAATGTAATGACAATAGAAGATACAGAAAGGTAATTTTAAATCGTAATAAGCTCATTCTATTTTCTTTTTGGGTTTGTCCCTATCATAAACACTGATGGAAAATTTCCATTGTTCTCTAAAGTTTTATGTGCAGTTACAACTATTATATACTTACTAGAAGCTTAAATTATGTTAGCTTAACAAAATAGCAAAATATATATTGATGGTTAAAATTTACTGCTGAATTTACAAATCTCTACTTCAATAATTAATTCTTTACTGTTGTACTTAAAATGTGTCATTACATTTAAATACAAAAAAGCTTTTCCTCAAGGCCAGCATGCTTTCTTATACTACAAATTACACTCCAACCATTTCCTATCAATAGTATATATTTAGTTATAAAAAGTGCATGCAATAAGCAAAAATTGATTTATCTGACTGGATGAATATTAAATAAATTTGGTGTAATGTATATGTATCACTTATAATTATCAGAAAAATGATTTGAACATGATATTGATAATATAAAATAAATCAAGAAGTATATAAAATTATATCATATAATTTTGCCATATTCAGCTACTGGAAAATCTGAATTTTAGCTATCAACACAGAAAAAAAATGTATTTTCTGTGAAAATAGCCAAACAGATTAAACACTAAAATAATTTTTTAAATTTCTTATATACTATATAGAATAGAAAAGTTATTAGTCTTTTCTTCATTACTTGGTTTCTATAGCAACTTGGGAAATGTTGTTCTCAAGATAAATTCTCTAACATTTGTTTGCATTGTCAGGAAACCAGAAGAAGAAAATAAATAGATACAAGCTTTGTAGAAGTCATGTTTTTAAAGATTTATGTAAGTTACACATTTTGAATTACAAAAAAGATACCATTAAAGCAGATAAGCTCCACAGATACATGCTAAAATTAGTGGGTAAAAATTTAAGAAGAGAAAAGATATTTACATAATCTTAAAGTGTCTTTCCAATGGTATTTATTAACTCTAAAGTGATACATAGTAACTTTTACAGTGGAGTAACACAGCGGACACCAACTAAACCAAGTGATCAAAGATCACCAAGCAATATCATTTACCTCCAGACATCATGCTCTGAGAAGGACTTACTGCTTCTGGAATATTCTTTAAATAAATGCATAACCTCAATCTAATAATGAGAAAATATCAGACAAACCTAAACAGCAGCACATTCTACAAAATAACTGATCTATACTCTTTAAAAGAGTCAGTGTTTCCTTAGTGCTCCCACCAAGGGAATTAGGGAGACAGGACAACTAAATGTGAGGTACGATCCTAAATTGGATCCAGGTACAGAATAAGAAGATTCATGGAAAAACTGGTGAAGTCCACATAAAGTCTGTAATTTGGTGAATAATATTGAATCCATGTTAGTTTCTTTTAATAACTATCCTATGGTAATGTAACAGATTAGCATTAGGACAAACTGGGTGAAGAACATACATGGTAACTGTCTGTACTAACACTGCAGCTCTTCTGTAAATCTAAAATTATTTTTTAAAAGAAAGTTATACTTAATATTGTTTACGTTACAATAAAAACAGAAAGCCATACCTATATCTCAGCAAAATAATAAAAATAAATAGCATTAAATATATGGAAGAGCACTTGTTAAGTTTTCACTAGTTTTTTTTTAATGATAAATGATTACTTTGTTAATATATAAATGTGAACAGCTTCTTACTGATTTTATGGCAAACTTTTGGAACATGTATGATGCTTTTTCACCTTGAACTAATCTTTAGGAATATAGCAGAGTGAGAAAAGACCTGTATTTATTCATTAGATACATAGTGCAACGCTCTTAAGATTCATATTTTCCCTAGATAAATATATGCAGCTAGGATTAAAAATAATTGAATACAGTGTGACAATATGGACTATACATGTATAAAACTACTCCTAAAATTTATTTTGTCTATAACAAAAATTATGTGTTGGAATTACTGGTTCATGTTGTGTTCTCCTTTTGGATTAGCCTTGAAAATTATGCTAGCAGTAGCCTTTTTGGAGATTACTATTCTAAATTTGAGGTCTGATTAATTCCGTTTTTTTTGTTGTTGTTTTTGGATTTATCTTTTTTTATTTTTATTTTTATTTCTATTTTTATTTATTTATTTATTTATTTTGAGTAGCTGTGGAAAAGCCAACATGCATTTCTGTAAAAAAATCACAATTTTTGTCTCAGATCTCTACATATATATGAGGGTTACCATATTAATTTACATTGTTTATAATCTGGGATGTGATTATGACAAATTTAATGATGGATGGGAATAAAAAGGACCTTTTAAAAATCATTATTAGAATATTATATAGTATTTTATTCAAGTGATATGTGTCACCCAAAATAATTTGTTTTGAAACTTGCTTAGCTATACTGTCTACTTTATTAGCAATAAATAGTTCAGTGGTTAGTTAATAGTTATGCTGTATCTCCAAGTGAGGATAATAAATAGTGATTATAGAAGCATCTTGTAAAGTTTAAAATGTTATACAAAAAGATAGTTTCTGTTTGTATTTTTGATATTGCTATTTATTTCTATTGCAATGAGTATTTCAGGAAAAATTATATTCTACTCCAAAACCTCTCTGGGACTTTTCAAAGACTTAAAAAGATAAAGCTCAGTCTCCCTAATCCTGCCGAGTTTTTTCAACTGTTTTTTGCTACCTCACTTAATAAACTGAGCTCCACCATGTTCCAGGTCCCATGCCTGTCACCGGGGTCGAACTAAAGTAAGACTGAGCCTTGCCTTCTACATGCTCAGAGCTTAAATCCCCAAATGCATTGTTTGTTATTTCTTTGAGTAAACTCTTTCTTCAGACCAGCTGGCTACACTCAATTTCCTGATGGCCACCACTCCTCCCCTCCCATTTCTCCTGCGTAGATTTTCTTCTCTCCAGTTCCCACAAATCCCATAAACTTCATCACCTGGAGGGCCTGTATCCCCTGACCAGCACCATCCTCAGCGATTTTTATTTCGACACTGAAAAACAGCCTATGCTTTTTGTATATCACAATGCATCTGGGTTTGAATCTGACCTTTCCTCTATTTACCTCCTCCTTCATTTCTCTCACCCCATAATCATAACCTTTGATTATGAAATTCCCACCTGAAATTCCTATTCCATAATGCTGTATCTCTAAGGCACAAAACTGATACACATGCTCTGTAACCAGGAGGAGGAGGAATCCCTATGCTGTTAATGCTATCCATGCGTTCCAAACTTTTACACATCAGAATGCCCGCCAAAATGATGATATTTGAATGACACATTGAAGTAATTGAGGAGACTGTTTGCCGCTGGTTGTACTAAGCTACTCCAAGAGAAGAAATATTGATATCACAGCACAACTGTCCAGTTTAAAGCAAAACACAACCTATTGTACCAATTGTACAGATAGTTACAGAGCAGTATTTCTTCTTAAATCCCATAATCAATGCATTTTCTTCTTCCTGCTGCATGATATGCAATTATTCCTTTCATATAACTTATGGATACCAATATTTGGCTGGAGAATATATTGCAGTAATGATTTAATAAGCTTGTAGACTGTAAAGAAGCAAACAAAAATTTTTCACATGTTGACTATATTTTTCACTCTTTGAGCCATTCCCTTAAGCTTGAAAAAAAGAACACTGATTAAGTAAGGAGACCTTGAGATAATCACTCTTATTTCACTATTTTATTTTATTGTCCCACATATCATATAGTGTATGATCTGTGAAAATGCCACTGAGGCTCTGAATGGATAATCAAGTGTGACCCTGGAAAGCAGTAAAATGGAGGCTTTGTTGAAAAAGAAAGGAGACGTTGAGACATTAGACACTGCTAGAATTGAAATACCATTCGAAATACTTTACAGCTCCCATTGTTTCTAAAAAGCATCTTATTACACAAAGACAACCCAAGAGAAACCATCATTGATGAGTGATGTATAGAATTCTTACTTGGTTTAAGGCATTTTGTTATGCCATAGACAATATCAAATGTGAAAATTTTCTGAAATACATAAAGCATTATACAAATGTAAGTAATGAGAAAGATGCTAGTAAACTTTGTCACTGGGGCTTAACCAACTTCAGACTATGGCTCCAAAACTCTGGGAACTTTTAATGCAGTTAGAATAGATACAAAGATGCAATAATACTTAGGAATATAAAGCCAGGGGTAAAAACAGAAACATATAGGTGGTAAAGATAAGAAGGGATACAGTATGTTAAAGAAGGAAAATATACTTTGTAATAGGGAAACAATAGAGAACGTTTCTTAGAGATCTATTTTGAGCTGAGCATTAAAGGATGGATATAAGGAGAAAACTCAGAGTTCAGATTTGATGCAGCAGTGAACCAACGAATTTCCTTTGCTCATCCCATTTATATTACATTCTATCCTGGTCATTATAAATTAACAACATAGCTTTACTTGCCCAGTAACATATCATTACTTGCAGAATGCTATTTATTTCACAGAAATTGATATACTGAAAGGAACTAAAAATATCTTTCTTATTCTGTGAACATGTGTAACCAATATTATGTCCTTCTAATAATTTGAAGCCCTTCATTCACCAAGTGCTATTTGTAACACTTTACTAAATGTTAATAGAAGAAGCCCTCTATTATTTTACTTCTCTGAAGATAGCAATTATGAAATTGTCCCTGCTGAATAGCAAACTATGTTGATAATATGCAATTAAGATGCATCATCAGAAAAAGAAAAGTGCAGTTTACTTGACTAAGTCTGTAAAAATGAAAGAAATTGTGTAAATTCTTTATATTTCAATTTATAAATTTTTTAAATCTTTAGAATAAAAGCACAAGTTCATAAATGAGTAAAGCATCCCAATTGCTTTTGAAGAATGAAGAAGTATATGGTAATAAAGCAAATTTCATTCAAGTAAAGCTACTTAAAAGCAAAATGAGTTATTTTTCACTGGATTTCTCTTTTATATACTCTCACCACGCCATGCGTGTGTTCTCTAATCCTAGAATCAATAAAGTTTTTTAAATGAGCTTCACCACACACACACACACACACACACACACATCATCATCATCATCATCATCATCATCATCATCATCATCATTATTTTATGCTCTGGAACTTGGAACTAATGTATACTGTCTACCTGGTTTGACCCAGAATACTGGGTTAGTAGTTCTAAAATATTGTAACAATTACAATTGGTATTTAAAGCTGTTGACTATTTTTTTACCTGCATAATCTATTCTGAATGATGGAACTTCAGAGTAAGAAGCAGCCATATAAACATCCCAATACAATCATTTATTCCCATGAAGCAAACACTCTGTTTATTGTCATGCCCTTACCAAGTGTTGGCGAAAATGTGGAAGAACTGAAACTCTCACATACCATTCATGGGAATGTGAAATGGTACAACTTCTTTGGAAAATAATTATTTGGAAAATAATTTGTGAGGTTCTCAAAAAAGTTAAACCTATACCTACCATATATCTCTAAAAAGCTAAACATATACCTACCCTATAATCTAGCCATTATACTCCCCAGTAATTGTTTAAGAGAAATGAAAGAAAAATTCACTGTAGTGACTTGTTTTTGAATGTTTGTGACAGCTTTAATTGTAAAAGACAAAAACTGGAAACCACCAGAACTTGCATAGACTAATATGGCATATACATGCAAGAAATACTACTGAGCAATGAGAGCGAATGAACAACTGATGTGCATATCATAGATGAATCTCAAAATAATTATGTTGAGTGACAGAAACCAGGCAAAAAAGTCTACTTACTTTATTATCTCAATTACTTAAATTCTAGAAATTGTAAACTAATCTGTAGTGACAGAAAACACATAAATGTTGGCCTCCTACCAGGAGAATCGGTGGAAGGGAACAAGAGGTTACAAAGAGGCTCGAAAAATGTATGGGGTGATAGGTATGCTTGTTACCTTTGATTATTTTGCAGTTTCATAGATGTATAAAATATCATCTATGATATTTTATATTACATATTTTCAACATGTGTTGTTTACTGAATGTCAACGGTGTCTTAAGAAGATGCTTATAAAAGGTGGGAGGTACACACACTTAATTAATTGAACCAAGAATAGAAAGCAGGTTTTCACCTTTTTTTCACAGTTCTACACTGCATAATCCAGATTTTAAATTATATGATCCATCCAAACATGTGTTTTTTAGTTGATTCAATTCTTGCATATGATTAGAGAAGGGCCTCACTTTGATAAACTGACCTCCAAAACCACAGCAAAACCTACCATTTTATACGCTGTGTTGTTAATAAATTGTTACTTTCTCAAATAAGTCACAAGCTCAAATACTTTGCAGAGTCGGTTGAAGAGAGCACAAAATTTGGATTTCTGACTTCAAGTGGTGAGCATTTTGCGTGATTAACTCATTGTAGCCTATTTGGTCAGTTGAGGGGATTGCCAATAGATCAGTTATTTGATTCGGCAGATTATTTATCTAGTAGGGGAATTTCAGAAAAATGGCTCTTTCAAAAATAAAACATAAAGAGTTGAGATGTTGCTGCATGAAATAAGTTAATTCTGGTTGGCATTTATCTGTTTAAAATTCAGGATCAATAACAGAATAGTAAGACATTTTACTATCCTTCACAGCTATTCAAACAGAGTATTTTAAGGTATGAGAGGGCACCCTTCTTAGATAGTAGATAGTGTTTTAGAGTCTATTTTATTAACTGGTAGAAAAGTAGTAGATCTATTAAATCTAGTACATGGAATTAGCATAATAATTAGAAGCTGACCTTATTGTAGGTCACACAAATTCTTTAATCTCTTTTTCATTTGTGCATACTGAGGAAAAACGTGGCCTGTGGAAAAAGTAGTATACTGGGATCTAGCAAAACAACCATATTATGTTAAGAGAACAAGTTAATTATGCTTTTAGTTTATCACATTTGATACTGTAAAGTTTAACATGATTTGTTTTTTCTCTTCTGAAAGCATACATGTGAAAGAACCAAAAATTACATGATTTTTTTTAATTTGAAGGATAAATATCTCTATGCCTTTTATTAAGAAGTATTGTTCTGCAAAGAAGGTGATAGATAGCATTAGGTCATTTTTATTGCAAAATAAGACTGAAATATATCCTACAGCTTCATAGTTTTTGTTTTTTTTTTTTTAGGAATGTTAACTCCATCTTTTATTATGTCAACCTAAAGCTTTATCTTGGTTCAGAGTGAATATCAAAGTATGTGCTTTGGTTTTTAAACTCATGGCAGAGTTTCTGGATGAGATGAGCTAGCTAGCTTTTCTATGCCCAGACAGTGAAGGACATTGTGTAACCCAAAATTAACTACAGATACTTTCCTGCTAAATTTTTCAAGCGAATCAAGGGCTTTGCCTTTGGTTCCACATGGTAATTCTGGAGCCAAAGTTGGAGAAGAATTTTTTTTTTAAATCATCAATGTAGAGAAAAAAACCCAATGCCTATCCTTCTACCCACCCGCCCCCGCCACGCCACACACACACACACACACACACACACACACACACACACACACGCTTTAAACTTTGAATTCTCAAAAGTTTATTTTTAAGTTAGAGATTTGGGATAAATATTTTCTGCTATAGCAGAAAATTACTTGGCTTAGCCAAGTTTCTTTGAAGAGAGAAGCATGCTGTTTGTTCCTTAGTTTGTCTTATAATTATTTTCTTTTGTAAGAGGGAGAAGGAAAGTTACGCATTCTGTTTGGAAAATGCAGAAGGTTTTCTGCAATAAATTTTAATATTCCTTTTAGCATTCATAAATGATTTAAATAATTGGTTTGTTTAATTGTGCATTTGTCGTCTGTCTGCCATAATAGACTGTAAGCTCCTAGAGGATCTGTTTGTTCAGCATTATGTTCCTAGCCCCTGAGCAAGTGCCTGACCATAGTAGGAGCTTTATAAAGATTGTATTTGAAATATTTAAGTAACAATTTTCCTAGAGATGGTGCCATTGAGATTCAGATGCATAGAATCAGAAAGCAGGGTTTCAGCTATTGGGAAATAGGTTCTAGGTATTTTCAGCCAACTAAAATAAGAAAAGTTAAAGTAATAAAAATATTCTTAAATCTTTAGGCTCAAAATTGTATTTGGGATACAGAAAATTGCAGTAGAATCAATAAGTGGATGTAGTGCATACTGTGACACACATAGATTGTGAATTCTGGATGATTCATATGTGAATTATGCATATGCATTTGAAAGTTCCAGATTCACATTTTTCTGCAACCCAGAATGAATTGAAATTACCTTTACTACATTAATTGTCATGTATCCTAAAGGCATGCAAGTAATTGTGAAATTAGTCCAACCCAAACAGAATTAGCCAATTCTAAACCAGTACAATGCCAAACATGTGTTTTTGCATTTTCTCTAATTTTTTCTATTTATCTAAAGAGATAACTTAGACTTCAGTCTCCAATTTAAAGGTTCCATAGGGTCAGGTTAGAATAGGCAGTTTGTTACCAGAGATCATGGAGAGGAGGTCAATAAACTGAAAACAGAGGGAACAGAGCTGAAGCTCAAACAAAAACCAATGTCTAAGAAGCACAAAGGAGAGTCCGAAGGTTAATTTCCCAGAAGAACCAAGAATCCTCTCAAAACTCATGAATCTAAAAGACAGAGATGTGAGAACAAGCAGCAAAGTTGGAAGGAACAAGGTGATTTTCTAGAGAAAATAATTTCTTTGGAGGCAGAAAAAATATGTATAGTATGTGGATGGTGTTTCAATGAGCAAAAGGACATGATGAACGGTTTAAGTCAAAGAGCACAATAGCCCTGGGAAACACTGCGAAGCAGATGAAGATGTCTTGGACATGTTTTCTTCTCTGGCCTCTATCACCTGTATCTTGTTTTATTATTACTGGGCATCATTTCTCAAATAGTGCTCCATGCATCCTAATGATTTATCAGAATCATCTGTGTGTTTGTTAAAAATTAGGCTTTCTGGATGTCTTGCCAGGTCAAATAAATGAGAATCACTGGGGGTAGAGTCTAAGAATCAATGATTTTACAACATCTCTAGAGAAGTTTTATTCTGTCTCAAGTTGGGAAGTCCTGGATCTACACCTTCAGTGCTAGTGTCCTCATCTTATTCCTTATAAGCTACCATTAGGTTGGACCTTACTCTCTGATACAGAAATTTCCCTGATCAAAATTCTCATTGTTTCAGAACCCAGAGGTTCAGGATTTACTACTTGATGCCCTAAACAAGGGATTCCCAATCTTTTGGCTTCCCTTGACCACATTGGAAGAAGAATCGCCTTGGGCCACACAGAGAATATACTAACAACAACAAAAAAAATCGCAAAAACAAAACAAAACAAAAGAAAAAAAACTCATAGTGTTTTAAGAAAGTTTACAAATTTGTGTTGGGCTGCATTCAAAGCTGTCCTGGGCCTCCTGCGGCCTACAGGTTGCTGGTTGGAGAAGCTTACCCTAAACCCTTCTAATATATTAATTAGAGAAGAAATAGGTTTTGTAGGAATTGTTTTTGGACAATACCATCATTTTCTTGAAATGTTAACCATTCATACTTGGCTAGAATTTGAAGATAGGAAAGTGGAGCATTTGGTACCTAATGGGGGTATGTGTTGAGCAAGATGTCCATTTCTGTATGTTTCAAAACATACCATGTAGGTGGCCACTAACTCCCTGTGCAAAGATCTAGCCCTGAATATAGCAGGGCAGGTGTGGTGTTCAAAATACTGAAAGCAAAATAGAATCTGCAGCTTTTCCTTGCAGATGATATACTTTTCTACATTATGCAAGCTGTGGTAAGGACATTTTGTTTAGTTTATAGCATTTCAGTGCCTGTTGAGAGGAATTGAAATAGACTTTGTACATGTACCCTCAGACTCTTGAAAAATATATGCTATGTACATTGTAATATCAATACTGTCACAGAATCTGTAGGGAGTGAAGGCCTTAAGGAATAATACAAATAACAAATAGGAGGAATTGCAGTGATGGACAGACCAAACAATTCCCTTCCCAGCCTCTGCAAGTCTAAGAAGCTTTCAGGAAGCACTTCATGAATATAACAACAGGCCTGCCTGGGGAGAGACGGCTACCACAGCGTTTGCATGTCAAGCATTTCAGTTTCTAATTAATATAAAAGTATCCAGGATAGTCTTCAGATGGTGCATCAGAAGTAGTAATCCTTTTTTGGGGGTTCTAAATGACATGAAAAAGTAAAGTTATTTTAGAAGGAAGGGGAAACCCTAGCTGTATAGAACCTCATCATTTTATGAAGGTATATTGATGCTGTCACTCATGTTGCTGTACCATAGAATTTTCCTAATGTAGCAAATAGGAGACCATACCAGCCTCTGGGGCTATGTGTCTAAACAGCTGTTGGGTAATTACTGAGGACCCTTAAGGCACAAGCAAGGAAAAGTGGAAGCCATTAATAAGCTATAGTTGAGCAATGTGGCAGAGGAAATCACTATTTATGTTTGCTAAATGGAATAAAACTGGCTTCTGAAAAAGTAAAGAGAAATTCATGCACCTAATTTGTTGTTACGCTTGAACAGTTCATGTTAAACTGAGGCTCAGGTGAGGAAGCAATCTCCACAAAAAAATGCACGTCTAAAAGTAGGACCACAGACATATCTCGTGAGTTCTTCTGTGAACCTTTTCCTGAACCTTTTCTTCCGTGGTGGATTAGAACTTTGTCTTTGGTATCAAAGAGACCAGAGATTCTTTCAACCTTGAATTGTCACCATTTGCTGTGAGAAGCTAATCCAGTCACCTGGAGGTCTCTGAAACTCAGTTTCTTTCTCTGTAAAATGTGAATAGTAAAAGTACATACTAGTATATATATATGGGCAAGAATGAACACTAACCACTTGATACTTGAGGTAAGATTCTAGTCATGAACCTAGATGAGAATGAAAGATATGTCCTTTCCCTTACAATTTCATACTACACAAAGAACTTGCAATGATATTTTAAGATGTATATGCAGACATGCACCTACACATACAATAAGATTGTGAATTTTCTAAGGTCAGAAACTTTGTTTTCTTTATCTCCATATATCCAAATCTGAGATCAGTGCCTACCACATATTTGAAACACCATATATATATTTGTTGGATATATTGATGAATGGACTACGTGAGGTTCTGGGAGGTAGTGCTCCAGTATCTTGGAGGACCCTAAATTCAAGTCAGAGACAGCCAGCCAGAAATATGGCACTGGCCTGCTTCCTGGAAAGTCCAAGCACCAGACATTCACATTGCTGTAAACCAGCAGTCGGTCTTGCTACTGTCAAGCCTCTCACCTGTTCTAACTGCAAGCTACACATTACCCTTGAACAAGGTCTCTTCTCATTAGATGAGTTTTGATGTTTCAAGGTAGGAGAATGCCACCCTTCTAAAAACCAAAACAGATTAATGGTACTAGGTCGTGACTTAATTGTGGCACTGACTTGCAAAGATTTCTTTTTGCAAGTAATTTTATCTCAGTCAGTCTGAATATTCATATACAGTGTGGAGATAGAGGAAGAGTAATTAATGTTCCTTCTAGTTACAATACTTTTGGGTGAAGGCAGGCAACTTAGGGTGTTGTTAAGAGCCTAGACTTTGCAGACAGACAGACTTCAAGGCATTTATTCTAACCTTGCAATTTATTACCTCTGTTATCTTACATGAAAACCTTAACTTCTCAATGCATCTATTTCCTCATCTGTGAAATGGGGATGTTGAAAGTTACCACAAAGAATATTTATGATAGTTAAATGAGATTATGTGACATTGCTTACTATAATGTCTGGCACAGTAAGGGCCTCTCCTGACCTTCCAAGTCCCCAGTGGGTAAAGTGCAGTGGATAGGAGGCATTTGATGTATTTGTTTAGTGCCCCCTGAACACCAAGCACTGTTCTAGATGTTGGGATAAATCAATGAATAAAATAGAAAAAGGCCAGTCCTCTTGGAACAATTGTAATGATAAATCTGTTTTTTAATATAAAGCGGAAGTATGTTTCCCAGATCCCATTGTTTCTTCAAAGCCTCTAATCATATTAAAATAGAAACTTAATTTAGAATGAAATCAAAGAAAAATCAAGTATAAATCATAGTTATAATTTATTGTGAAATGTTAATCAAGGCATTAACTTTCAGAAAGGGAAGTCCTGTTGAAAATTTTTAAAAGTTGTGGATTTGGGAAAAAAAAAAAAGAAAAAGGAAGCTAAAATGTATATGAATTAAAGAATGAACAACTAATTTTTGCAGAAAAATATAAATGAATATTCAACTTACACTGTACAGAAATATATTCCAAATAAGTGTGGCATTTATAGAAGTATATTTGGTTTCTAAATGTAAAGAAATTTATAATATTTTTAAAATATGAAATTCTCAATAATTTATGTCAACAAATGATTTTTAAGTAGGATTCATTCCATTTATATAGATTGCCCCCAGACAGTATACCAATGTGTTGCGTACTAAAAAAAAAAGTGATATTGAAGCTTCTTAGATCAAAAATTTCTCACTATTTTATTGAAGGAAAATATCCTGTGTTATCCTGTATACCCAAATAAAATGGATCAAGTAATAGGCCTATCAAATGAACGTGTTTTCATATATATTAAACATAATGAGGTTCTTTGTAATGGGTAAATGTTGTAATAAATGTCCAGCAAAATGAGAACTAGTTTACTGCATAAAAACATGCACTGGCCAAAGAACAATTGCTTATATACTTATAGTGGAATGGAACCTTGAGGCAATGTGTCATTGATGCATTCAGCATCCTCCCTACTTGATGGAACAGTAGTCATACCTCATGCTGTCTCACATGTGTGGCATGCCAGTGGGGAGCAAAGTGGAGGACTGAAAAAGGGCCAGAGGGCAGAAGTTGGGTGGTGAAGAAAGGCAAGCAGTGCTTCCTGCCGTCACCCTTGCTCATGACTTCCCTGAAGCTATCTTTTTGAGTTCATGGCTCATTTCTCAAATACCTATGCCTACCCAAAGTATAAAAGGCACTGTTTTCAGTGCTGTACTGTGATGTGGGCTGGAGAGTATGGAGATTGTAGAGCCAGCTCTCAGGAAGCTTATACAACTCTAAAAAGGGAGAAGAAAGTTCTTCAAACTTGGGCTACATATGGATCTGGAGGGATAAAAGGAAGCACCTTTACTAGTGTAGCCAAAGAGGAAATGATGTTAATTTTGGATGTGGAATCTGGCAAAACTGCATTTGGGACCTGAAGATGACAGGAGGAGGCAGCGGGAAAGTCTCAAAAGCAGGAAATGAAGATCGGTAGAAGGAAGTGATGAGGCTGTAAAGACAAAAGGGAAAGGAATGTGAAGGAACGGCCAAAGAGTCTGTTTTTGAATTATGGCAGCAGAAAAATTGCCAGGAAGTGGAAGTGGAGTGCAAAAGTGACAATTATATTTCTAGAAGACATGTGAAATAAGAATAATTTAGATAATTTCTTCCTATTATGTAATTGCTCCCCTGCCTCAAACACACACACACACACACACACACACACCAGTGAATGCATTTCCTGTAAATTAAAAACATTGAGTTTACACTAAAGAGATCAATTTTTTTTTGCCCTGTTTCTGAGGCTCACCACTGATGTCGCATTGGGCAGGTCAAGGATCCTTCTGAGGTAAAGATACACCCACCTGCTTTTACCTCAGCTAGCGTTGTTTTGAGGGTGTATCAGATGGACAAAGTGTGAATGCTTTCTGGACCCTGGGATAGCCTATGCAAATGTAGGGGTTTTATATTTTGATAAAACTAAGTGAAATGAAGATTAAAGCCAAGCACTTTCACATTGAACTAAACAAAGGAAATAAATAATGGAAAGTCTAAGATCTGCTGAGAGCACATCAATGAAATAGTTATTCTTGTATCTTTATTGAAAAGCTAATTGTAAAGGCTAAAAACCTCTTTTGAGGGTGGAAAGAAAGACTTCTGTCTACTTGCTAATTTATTGTTCTGGGAGATGTGGCTGCAGTTCATTGTGACTATATAGAAGCAGAAACCTAATAACATGGTTTACTAGTCCTGGTTCTGCCATTTAGGACCTCAGTAAATACCACAGCCTCTTCCTTTCTTTCTCAGTTGTGGATAATAACAGCTCAGAGCTGTTGTAAGGGTCAACAGATTATCCTTGTGATTTAAAGGAAGGTGAGAATTTCAAGCATAAAAGAATTGAAAAGATGTATACTTCTTTTTTGTCTTTTTGATGGCAGAACACAGAACTCTTATCTCATGTCTACTCTTCAATCCAGGCTGTGCCTTAGTTAATGAGAAGCAAGAACACCCACCACTTCTCTAGAAAAAGGACTTGACAACTTCACTCCTGACATTCTGTCACAGGGAATAACGCTCTTTACGGAACTGCTTATCATGAGTATGGCATCATTCTGGGCCCTGGGTATACCAAACAAACAAAAAATGAAGATCCCTGTCCTCTGTCACTCATATTCTACTGTAGGAGATGGACGAAAAAATATTTAAACATGAGTGATTAACTATGGTATACTCAGTAGTTAAGTTTTATGGAGAAAAATAAAGCAAGGCATGTAAAGGCAAGGTGTAGGTGGTAGTGGACCAAAGACTTAGAAGAGGTGAGAGAGCACACAGTGAATAACATGTTGGAGAGGAATTTAGCAGGCAGAGGAAGGAGCCACTGAAATGCCAAAATCCAGGGAACTGTCTGGCTTATTAAAGAGTCAATGGGGAGATGGATGTGGCTAAAGCAAAACTGGAGGCTTTAGGGTAGTATTGAAGATGAGCCCACAGATGAAATGGTGGACCAGATTGTATAGAGTTACGGGCTATCCTCAGGATTTTGGCTTTTACTCTGAGAGAGACGAGAAACCACACAAGTTGTTGTTATTGTTTTCTATGTTTCTTTAGAGTTTTTATTGAGTTAAGAAAATGCTTATGTCATATATCAAGGAAGGTGGAAAACTTACATAAAATATTAATAGTGTTTATTTCTGAGTTATTATTGTTAATTTCTCTTCCATTTAATTTTATTTTCCAAGGCATCAAAACTGCAGATATTCTTGGATAGCCTTCCTTTTATAACCAGTGAATTAATTTCAATGATAGCATCTCTAATAATGAAGTTATTTTGTCTCTAGTGTGAATGACATAACATTATTGCTAAGAGTTTGTTTTGTCTTTTTTTTTTTCTTTGTAAGCTGCTACTATGCTTCAGTAGCCCTTGAGCTTGAATGGAGTGGTGGGGACATGAGGGCTGTGAAGTAGCTAGTCCATCATGAAATTAATGGTGGTGATGAGGGTGGTACAAACGGAATTCCTGTCATTCAGGAATGAATAGCCAAGAAGAGCAGGTTAGACTACTGAATACATTTAACCATTCTTTTGTATACAAAATAAATATTATTTAGGGGATAAATTAACTTCCCCTTTCACCCCCAGACCTCAGTTGGTGTGAATGTTTAAACAGAGCAAAAACTGAAAAGAATCTAGAAACTTGATACTTCTAGAACTTTATAAACTCCTATTTGTGACTTCTTCAGACCACTTTCATGACTTCTGGAAGCAAATGTCCTAGTACAGACTCAGGTACTCTTTAGAGTATAGAATTATAAGTGTTACTTTTAAAATTGATACGTAACTTTAAAAGCCTATTTAATTTCTCATGGGTGGGTTTTGAGCCAAGAAGGGGCATGATTAGACTTTAAGTTTAAAAAAGATCACTTTGCTTTTGTGTGTTTGGGGGCAGGGGGTGAAGTGGTGTATGAGAGGTGGGGTAAGTCTGAGGAACAATAGTTTGGAAGTTATTTCAGAAGTCCCAGAAAATGCGGGTAACTCAGACCAGGGTGGCAGCAATGAAAATGATAAGAAGTGCTTAGATTCCAGATTTATTTTGATGGTACAACTGACAGATTTGTAATGATTTTACCTAAGCTTTCTGAAGCCTAGAGGTCGATGCTTTCCCATTTCTTTGTATCGGTAATTAGGTTTAAAAGTGATTTGAGTTTAATTACACCACATTTATATGTCAATTTACTGCTAAATAATTGCTGGCCAGAGAATTTCTTTTCTTATTTATTTTCCTGCATCTCTTTGAGTATTTTTCTTTGTATAGATCTAGAATATCAAAAAGAAGTGTCAATGTACACGATTACAAAGTTAAAATCATATACACTAGTTACGTTTATGTGGTGGGTAGGCCAGTGATGATGTCCCAGTTTTCAAAATACTAAGTCCTAGTTCTCTTCTGTCCTCTTTCTTCCCTCCCCCCCCAAAAGAAAAATAAAAACAACAACACAAAAAATATAACTATTCCTCATTCATAAGTAGTTTGTTCCTACCAAAATGCCAGATGTAGCTCTTAAACTAAGCCACAGCGCTGAGGCTTTTTAACAATTAACAAAAACTTTCGGTTCACTTTGTGAATCATTTTACATTCAAACAAGCACAGCAACCTTGTCAGATTGGACTGGGTCAGATTTTATTCTCAGAGTTTCTCAAAAGCCATCCTGACAGGAAAGTATATATTCTTATTCCTAGGCTGTAAGCTAGAACAAATCTGGGTTCCAGAAGCAATGGCCTTGAAACAGTGAAAGAGTTTTTTGAAGGGCAGGCAAAAATGTTTTAAATGAAGTTCTTCCTGATTCTTTATTAATACTTGAAAAATAGTTTGGTGTTTTTTTTAATTTTGAAAAATATGAAAGATACAGATGGAAAAGTAAAGGGAAATAGAGCTGTATCTTTTTTTTTTCCATGCTTGCTACTTTTCACAAGAAAAGTATGGCTCACCTGATCAGTCCAATTTACCATTTAATCACACTCAGTTTATTGCATCTCTAAAATTGGCCACATAACTGCATATTGGAAAATCCCAATTTTCCAGACTTTTCTATTTTACATCAAGATCTGACATGTTTTCTCCAGGTTGCAAATTAATTAGACCTTTTTTATTCTTTTGTTCCTTGCTTTGTTCTCCTCTTTCCTCTTGTTCACTTGGTTGGAGAGTGTGAAATGGATAATAATTTTGGTTTAAGCATCGTTTGAACCTTTGAATGGAATCACTATATTGGCTACTGATTAGATTGAAGGATATGAACAGACACTTCTCAAAAGAAGACATTTATGCAGCCAACAGACACATGAGAAAATGCTCATCATCACTGGCCATCAGAGAAATGCAAATCAAAAACACAATGAGATACCATCTCACACCAGTTAGAATGGTGATCATTAGAAAGTCAAGAAACAACAGGTGCTGGAGAGGATGTGGAGAAATAGGAACACTTTTACACTGTTGATGGGACTGTTAACTAGTTCAACCATTGTGGAAGTCAGTGTGGCGATTCCTCAGGGATCTAGAACTAGAAATACCATTTGACCCAGCCATCCCATTACTGGGTATGTACCCAAAGGATTATAAATCATGCTGCTATAAAGACACATGCACACATATGTTTATTGCAGCACTACTCACCATAGCAAAGACTTGGAACCAAGCCAAATGTCCAACAATGATAGACTAGATTAAGAAAATGTGGCACATATACACCATGGAATACTATGCAGCCCTAAAAAATGATGATTTCATGTCCTTTGTAGGGACATGGATGAAGCTGGAAACCATCATTCTCAGCAAACTATGGCAAGGACAAAAAAACCAAACACCACATGTTCTCACTCATAGGTGGGAATTGAACAATGAGAACACATGGACACAGGAAGGGGAACATCACACTGGGGCCTGTTGTGGGGTGGGGGGAGGGGGGAGGGATAGCATTAGGAGATATACCTAATGTTAAATGACGAGTTAATGGGTGCAGCACACCAACATGGCACATGTATACATATGTAACAAACCTGCACGTTGTACACATGTACCCTAAAACTTAAAGTATAAAAAAAAAGAGAAAAAGAATGAATAAATGCATAAATGGACTTGGAGAACCAGAAAAAAAAAAAAAAAAGATGAAAAGGCCAAAAGAGAAGAAAGTAGGGGGCATAGTGAGATTCTACCTGTATGCTTCAGCTACAGCCATTATGTCACAAAAGAAAATGAAGGAAACAAAGTAAGAGGCAGGCAGAGAAGATGATCACAGCTAGGTTCTAAAGAGGAAATGACCGCAGCTTAGTGAATCCTACACTGTCCGTAAGACAGTAAGAGAACAGGCAAGTCTGATCATGTGGTCAGTATGCTTATGTAAAAGCAATATATTTATGAACGATTATGGTATACTAATACTTCACGCAATTATATTATGCATTAAATCAAGGTACATTTGAACTTCTGTTCATTATTTGTGTGTAAATTAAAAATTCAATTTTCCTGCCTTTTTTCCAAGTAGAAATATGTATGAAATTGAATTAAGTTTGGCCAAAACTGCCTCCATAAATAATTTAAGAGTTGCCTAAAAGTTTCTCTAGACATAGTGAATTGTAACCTAAGTTGGTGTATTTACAAGCTATAACCTAAACTAGAAGTATATACTCTTGTAAAAAGTAACTGAGTCTCAATCAATCACAGCAACTAAACCTCCAGCCATTAAGAGACTGAAAGCTGCCAAATACGACTATATAAGGCAAACATTGACTGCAGCCAATCAGGTTGTTTCTGTATGTTACTTCCTTTTCTATGGGCATGAATATAGACTGCACATGTGGTAGAGTGGAGCATTCTGAACCATTTTTGGTCCAGACTGCTGCCCTATTCATAAATCATTTATTTTCTCAAATAAACTCTGCTAGATTTGGTTTGTCTAAAGTTTTTCTTTTAACATATGGTATCAGTAACTTCATGGAGATAAATAGATTGAGAATGAGCCATGAGCAGCATTCATTAAGATATGGTAGTTAATTGCATATGAGTGGGAGTCAACATGATCCATGTGGATCAGGAAATAGGTATACAGGAAAAAGGGGACATTACAAAAGTCAAGGAATACTAAAACGAGGAATGAAAACAAAATAAAACAGAAACAACAGTCAGACACAAATGATAGAGGCTCAACATCATTAGCCAATAGGGAAATGGTTAAAACCACAAGATAACACTTCACGCCAGCTAGGATGGCTATAATGGAAAACATCAACAATAACCAGTGTTAGTAAATATATGGATAAATGGAACCTTCATACATTGCTGCTAGTAATGCAAAACTCTGGAAAAGCTTTTGGCAGTTTCTTAAACTGTTAAGCATAGATTTATCATATGACTCAGCTGTTCCACTCATAGGTACCTACCTAAGAGAAATGAAAACATGTGTCTATACAAAAATTCGTTCACAGATGTTCACAGCATAGCAGCAGCATTCTTAATAACAAGAAGTAGAAATAGCACAGATGTGCATCAACTGATGAGTGAGCAAGCAAAATGTAGTATATCTATACAGTGGAATAGTATTGTGTTCCACATGCTATATGCTACATGGAGCCTCAGAAACGTTATGCTAAAAGTCCACACATTATGTGGTTCCCTATTAATTGTCCAAAAAAGGCAAACCTATACAGACAAAAAGATTAGTGTTTGCTTAGGTTGGCCTGGGGGTGGGAAGAGGGAATGACTACGAATGGGCACAAAGTTTCTTTTTGGTGCAATGAAAATGTTGTAAAATTAGATTGCAATGATGGTTGCATAACACTGGAAATTTACCAAAACTCATTGAATTGTATACTTAAACGAAGTGAATTTTATGGTCTGTAAATTATACTTCAGAAAAGATATAAAGGAGGAGGATGCTTGAATATAGAAGCCTGGAGGTAAAAGAAGGAAGACAACATTTCAAAAAGGGATGGGGATGGCTGATGTCAGTTGCAGAAGAGGTGTGTGAAAAAGTAAAATGGAAACATAACAAACCTTTGATGCTACCTCTCTGGTTTTACCAGGGAAGAAGCTGTTCTGCTGCTAGCCCAGCCTGCAAGTGTCTGCAGGAAAATGCTCCATTACTCTGGGATGCAGTATGTGCCCTGTGGCCACAGAGCAGCTCATTAAGACCCTACAATAACCTGCTCATTTAAATAGGGTTCATTATTCATAGAGTGTTAGGATTGTTGTGGTTTTTTTCAGTGCAACTCTGGGTAGACTATTGTTGTGCAGTGCTTATTTTAACAGGAGTTAATTAGGACCAGAAAATTGCTCCTTGTTTATTACAGTTCCAAAGCCCCAGTACAAGCTGTACTAATCCCATCATTGTGAGTAATGGAAAAAAGAAGGGATGGTGTAAGGAGAGGAAAAAGAATGGAAGAGAGCATGTGTGTCGGCAAGTTAACATTCTTTCTTTCTTTCTTTTTGAGATAGAGTTTTACTGTGTCATTCAGGCCGGAGTGCAGTGCATGTTTACAGCTCGCTGCAGCCTCCATCTCCTCTGCTCAAGCAATCCTCCCTCCTGCCTCAGCCTCCCAGTGTATTTTATGTTATGTTATGTTATGTCATGTTATGTCATGTCATGTCATGTCATGTCATGTCATGTCATGTTACGTTATGTTATGTTATTTTTGGTAGAGATGAGGTCTCACTATATTTCCCAGGCTGGTCTTGAGCTCCTGAGCTTAAGTGATCCTCTTGCCTCGGCCTCCCAAAGTGCTGGGATTACAGGTGTGAGCCACCATGCCCAGTCTAACATTCTTTATAGAGATACTTTTTCTTTAGAAAATCTCATAAAGCTCAAGAGTTAATTTTATTTTTCAGGATGGCCAGAGGGTATTCTATACAGGAGAGAATTACCATATACATGTATGACATGTAGATCACTCATTTTTAAAGAATTACAGAAAAAATAAAATAAGCCTAAGAATTTGCTTATTTTTTCCAGAACTTAATTTCAAGGACCTTACAATTTATTTGGGTCACATTATGGATATCAATTAGTTTCTTATTAAAAGAACCTGTGCTTAAAAGTAGTATTCTGAGTGCCAGGTAACAAAGGTTACTATAATCCATCAATTCACTTGATAGCAGAAACCACTGAAAAACAGGTTTATATTGTGTAGTTTTCTACTACTCAAAGTTAATTCCAAAGTGTTAGCTAAAATGAGTTGTCTATTATTTATTTTTATACTTTTTTATATTCAAATATTAACTATCAACATTTTAAGCTAGACAGTGCTAAAGATCACTTTGTACTTCTTGACTGGCATTTTTGGTTTAAAAGTCAACAGTTAAGAACACAGGGAGGGAGTTTTAAAATAGGCTATGAGAGACTGATTTCTGTTTGTTGGTTTGTTTTAATAGCTTGTATTAGCAAGTATTCTATCACCCGAATTACAGTGAAGTACAAAGAGAAAAATCTAGATTTCATTGTCTGGCATTTGGAAAAGCACCTACTTTTCTGCTTGTTTAGGCATGCACGTAATGAGCTCACAGAGCATTTGTTTTTCTGACCTCTGGAATAAAAAAGCAAGCTGACATTAAAGACTGAGGTAAAATACTGAGGCTGCTGCCGATAGGTTTATTGGTGTGTTTGCTGTCGCATTAATTGTTTGGAAGCATTTTTATTCGATGTTTAAACTTCAGAGCAGCTTCTTATGAGGATTCAGGGGAAGAGAGCATAAAACCGGAAAGCGAGTCATCCTTCCAGAACTGTGTTGACTTCTCCACAGAAACAATGTGCTGTGTTATCACACAATGTCAGGAGTCATATACCACTTGCTCTGACTGAAATCATGTTTTATCATGTATATAAAGGCAGTAAAAAGCAAGAGGTCTGGCATCACAAAGCATGGGCCTCCTATTCAGGATCTTACCCAGTATCAGAAGCATTTTCCTAACTACCTCACCAGAGGTTAAATAAGCATGATGCCCTCAGTACATTATTATCAGAACAGACATTTCTATGGCATCTGCAAACCCAGAGGACAGTGCACAACTGAGGCAGTTCAGATTCTTCAGGGCTAAGAGCATTTTGAATTGGAATTGGTAAAATAGGGAGACAGAAACAGCTGGGGGATAAATATAAATGCAACCAGAGTCCCCTGTATTTTAGTCTGGATTTAGACCACTTGTGGCTATTAGACAGTGAGAATGTAGATGACCACAGCTGCTTCGTTTTTCTTCATTTAGGGACAGAACAAGGGCAATTATAGCATCTATGATTCATTCACATTCCTCAAGCAAATCAGCCCCTAATCATTGAACTCTGTATCATGTCCCAGCAAGAGTGCTAGTTTGTCAACAAAATTCCCTTGCTCTAAGGAGTTGCCTTCTAGTGTAACAATTTTCAGACAATGATATATTAATCCATTTCACTCCGATTTCACTTAATCTTCTCAACAATCAAGTGATACAGTAGGTATTACTAGTTCCATTTTACATGGCTTCAGGGTCACAAAAATCATTGTCAGAAACAGACATCCACCCTCAAGCAAAGAGGGGGTAACAGACAATAAGAAGCAAAACCAACCAATCTCACTAAGCTAATGAACACATTTCTGCAAATGGAAAATGTAAGTTTGATTCTCTTCACCTTAAAATCTAGGGTTTCTCATTTGCACCTCCCCTAGTGAAGTTTTGGGAGCTACAGAGTTTTCTCCACAAGGAGAGGAAGCCACACTGTAATCTGGAAGCATTTCTATGACAATGTCTATAGATAACTGCCTAAAGAAATCTCAGAGAAAACAGCTCTGGCGTATTCAGTAAATACTTGTGATTTCTTTGTGTGTGTGTGTGTGTGTGTGTGTGTGTGTGTGTGTATGTGTGTATGTGTGTATACATGCTTGTACCTAATTTTGTATTCTTTTCCTTGAAAGAAGAACCTCCCAACTAATACATAATTCAAACTATCCAAAATTTGAATACAATTCTAACTATTGTTCATCAGTCCTATGGGTTCATAAAGTAAAAATAGAAACTCTCAGGCAGAGTGGATTTTAAATTAAGCTGAATTCACTGCTGGGCAAATCAGGGAAAACCTAATCCAGCTCAGAGCTATTAGGATCTGAGGAAGGGGACATTCAGATTGACTGACAAGGAAAAACCCAAAGGCCATGAATTTTAAGGATTTACATGGATATATGTTTATACAAGAGAAAACAGTCCCTGGGAATGTGATGTCAGCAACCAAAGGCAAAGATGGACCTACAAATAGAAGGGCCAAAAGTTCTATGAGGAAACTGGATTTGATAGTTTAAGCAAGTCCTTGGCTTCGCAGTTCAGCACGGTGGGTAGAAGTGGGGTAGAAGCATGGGGTAGAAGTGATGACCGGCTGTTTGCTGAACCCAAATCCATTTAGGGTTTTCCTGAAGCTTGCTGACCCATTAAATCCATTGGTTGCACAGAGATAGGATACATAAATTACAGATCACAGAGATGCCTATCAGACCATAAACATCATCATATTTTTCTGGTATGTCTGGTTAATTTTTTGAAGCAGCGGCTCACGTGCCATCTTTTGAGGTCCTGACCACTTCTGTCTTGTAGTCTCTCACACCCTCCAAATACAGGGTCATGCAGAAGACAAGCCTATGATAAATGATCTTTATCAGTGTGATAGTTAAAGTGAATTCCATTTGGTAGAGAAAGATGCTTGCAAATACACATTTTATATACTTTGCTTTAAATTTTGTCAGCCTGGCTAAAAATATAACTCAGAAATAGAACTACTAAGGGATTTTCCCTGACAAAAGCATGATGGAAAATACTTTCTCCTAATGATCTCATCTGTGGCTTCTCAGCATTTCCAACTGTTAAACATTGTTAAAAAATACAGTGTTATGTGAAAGAGAAGAGGGTCTCTGTGGGAGGTTTTGCCTTATGTCGTTGTTGGCGATTGAGTCTCTGTAGATCCCAATATGGTTTGACAGTTCTTTGGCTTGATTGTAACAAGGAGCTATTTATGTGGAATAATTCATGCATATAATGAAATGAGTCTAAATTAATTATTTAATATTATTAACTTTTTCTTGGTCATAAAAATATTCATTGTAGAGAATTGGGAAAGTACACAAAGGTTTAAAGGAAATAAATACATGATATCATTTTGGTCTGTTTCCTTTATTTGTATGTGTGTATATATGTATATACACACATGTACAGTACAATTTATAGTATAATTTGTATGCCCTACATTTATTTTGCTTAGCTTAATGTAAGGAGTATTTTTCTTCTTCTGTCATTAGAATGTGAAAAGATGATTTTTACTGACTACAAATTTTCCATCCTAATGTTGTGTCATAAATTGCTTGTTTTTGAATAGTGTAATATTTTAATTATTTACAAACTTTCCTGAATTTTAAGGCTGTAATGAACATCCTGGTATACAAATTTTTGTTCTTGTCCCTGACTTTCTTCCTAAGCTGTATTACTTGGAAGTGGAATTATGAGGACAAGAGTAAAGCTTTTCTTTGGGTCTTTATATGAGTTGCCAATTTATATTCCCCATAGTATGCGCTACTTTGCATTTCCACTAGTTAGGATACCACGTGCTTGTGTGATTATACACAAGCAGTGTCGAATGTTGTAAGCTATTTCTATTTTGTTTTCCTGTGTATTTCTTTGGATGTCTTATAAAATAGTAACATTTTTCATAGATGTATTGATCACTGATTTTCAGTTCCATAGATAGTTTTCATGTTCTCTATCTGCTTTAGTGTTGGAAGGTTAAGGGATTTTTCTGAATTGGTTTTAATAATGTTAAAGATTTTATGCCTTATATCTGTCTCCTGAGTACCTAAGCCAAGAAAATATGAGGCCCTCAAAAGTGGATATAAAATAATTTATATTTTCCCTGGGCCTACTATCTGTAAGTTTCCGCTTTTTTTCTTCTTCAAGACACTCTCCAGGGAATGACCTAAACAACAAGTCTAAAATTGAGATGTGTTTGAGAGATACAGTTTGTTCAGCGGGTAATTATTCAAGAGGATCTCCTGTTGCACAGATATTCCATAGAAGAAACCATAAAACAGACCACCTAAATTGAAAAAAAAAAAATTGCCCTCTCAAACAATATAATGCTTGAGTTTTGAGTGGATCTTTTACATCTTCATTAGAAATATTCTCTGTAGGAAAATACTCTGTATTCACAGGCATAGTCTGTCCTTCTTCCTCCCTGTCTCCTGTCCTGTTCCTCCCTGTCTCCTCAAGGGACTCAGATGCAATCAAGAGTTGTATAGTAATGGGCATAAAATATTGGAGGAGTTCAGAGGAAGGATAGTCCAAACAGAGAATCATGGTGGAACTTCAGCTGATTCTAGAAATATGTGCCTAGTGGAACAGCTCAGAGAGAAAAAAAAAAAAAAAAAAAAAGACAACATGAAAGTACAGAGGCAGGAAAAATTACACCGTTTGAGGAATCATAAAAAGGGGACTTTTCCGTAGTTGAATAATTGAACCTAGTTCATGTCACTAGTGTGGAAAATAGATTAATGTGATTTAGCTCCTTTTTGTCCTCCCATAGAAAGATCTCAGATCTGCAGCCAAAGAGCTGGTTCTCCTCAGTTTCATCTTGCATATCACAGTGCATTTGTAAAATTTGGAAAGCTATCTAAAGAATTTTAAACTTTCTGAATACAAAATGTCTTTTTCCACCAGGCAAGAGTCACCCCAGTCACTAAACAAATTGACCAATTTCAGAGTATTTCCTGCTTCCACTTGTTACTGATGCAGCATCTGCCTGGAACAGAGTGCTGCTGGATGCAGAAAAGTTCAGGAAAGTTCTAAGGACTCCAGCTGGCTTCAGTGTGAGAAGAAAATCTGACACCAGAATAGCGGCCTTTTGTTTTGTACTGATTCTTTTCTATTAGGTTGGTGCAAAAGAAATGGCAAAAACTGCAATTACTTTTGCACCAACCTAATAGTATATTACCAGTCTCACAGTTTCTAGAGTTTGTCAAGATCTTCCTGGACTCAGCCTCTCTATATATCTTTGTGGATGCCTGGAATGTTCCCTGCCTTTTCTACCTGATTTAGACCTTATTCTTCAAGTCCTAGAAACCAAACCATCCCTTTCTAGGGAAGCCCTTCCAGCATGCCAGTTGAGTATCTGTTCTCAAGGCACATTTCAGTTTCCTTCCTAGGTAGCAGCACTTTAAACGAATGTAATTGAATGATTTGTTTAATGTGTGATTTACTATCTGCTTTCTCTCCTTAGACTGGGAATCATGTAAAGAAAAGCTATTCTCGATCTTACATTCAGGCAATAGCATTCTTTGAGCTCTGTAATCAAGCTGGATTTTTTCTTTTAAGCACAGTAAAGTTTAAAAGGGTAGTAGATAATAATAATATAAAATTTCATTAATATTTTGAAAAGGCTTATTTGGTCTGATCTTAGTTCTTATGCTCATGTTAAAATTGTGAATTAAGTAATTATGAATAATTAATTCAACAGATATCTGTTGAATGCTTAGTACATGACAGGCACTCTCCCAGTCCCTGGGATGCAGTGGTAAACAATCACCATGACGACTACCATAACAACAAAAGTCCCTGCCTTCATGGAGCTCACGTTTTCATGGGAGATGTAGAAATAAATAAATACGTTATAGTTTATGTGATGACGAGTATTTATAGAAAGAAAACTAAAGCCTGCTAAAGAGGTAGACAGATGCAGGTGCTATTAATTCCAGAGGTAGCATTCTTATTTATATACATTCTTGTATTATTTATTTTTTCTTAGAAATGAAGATTTAGAAAAACTTTTAATGTAGCTTATAGAAAAACACTGATTTTCTGGGATGTGTCTTTGGATATCTATTTTGAATCACATTTTGAATATATATGAATTTTACATGATTTTCAACATCAAAATCAGTCAATCAAGCAATCATGAACTTTTCTGCATCCAGTCGCACTCTGTTCCAGCCAGATGCTGCATCAGTAACAAGTAGAAGCAGGAAATACTCTGAAATTGGTCAATTTGTTTAGTGACTGGGGTGACTCTTGTCTGGTGGAAAAAGACATTTTGTATTCAGAAAGTTTGAAATTCTTTAGATGGCTTTCCAGATTTTATAAATGCACTGTGATATGCAAGATCAAACTGAAGAGAAGCAGAACATCAAAATGAAGAAATTTATGTAGCCATGCTTTTGAAAAAGAAATATGTATATAAGAGCTGTGCATTTGAAAAAGAAATATAAATACATTTTTTATTTATATATCCTTATATATAAATATAAATATCCTACCTGAATGTTTATATTCATATATATTATATATATATTTCTTTTATATACATATGCAAAATTTATATATAAATATTTGTATATATACACCTTTAGATATTCCCTGGCATGTTGAAATGGCTGAATTTGCAAAATTTTTATTTACTGAGTTATTGGTGAGTAATAGTGAATAATTTTCTTTTAACCTGGAGGATAAACTAAATAAAGAGATCAAACCTGGGGGAAAAAAATTCTTCTAGTGAACTGGTAATAGAGAATTTTATTTCATTCCATAGCCGTCCATCAGGATGTATTATTCTTTAGTTTCGGACTGTAGGGTCATAGAGATGAATCCTCCAGGGGTTGCTTATTTGTTCCCAGTTAATTTTTGTATTTATTTCTTTTGCTTTTGATAGTCTTCTCTAAAATTTGTAGGAATCATTTATTGTCATAAATATAATTTGAAAGTAGTATAGCTTGATGGCTATTAATATGAATGTATCTGGTGGAAACAAGCTATCTTTTTCAGATCAGAAAAAATAATATAAAGAATAAATATTTTTCTTTCCAATTCAGTTACCTAACATAATCAGGGTAGAAGTCTGGAGTGGGAAGGCAAAAGTTATTGACTAGATTTTCTCTCAAATAATTACATATATCAAGTTAATATAGCTGTTTAAATCATTAAGTTTTTTTTTTCCACATGAAGATCCTAGGAATATAAAAATCTTACCTGAACGTTAAAAAATACTGGTTTTATGTAAGATTTACATAAAGAAAATAATAACACTTTAGGGAAGGGTACAAAGCACAACCAAAATAAGTAAAAAACAAACAAACAAAAAAAACCAACAACTTTGTGCCTCTGAATAGGATGATTCAAACTTTAAATTATAGACTGAGGGCAATTCAATTCACAGTCTCAATTTGGGGAGGAGGTTAGGGACTTGACAAACTGTAAAATTGATATGCAAGCTAAATGTTTATAAAAGCCTAAATTTTTTGAGAAAAGTAACAGTTTAGGGAAGTTACCAGCATGATACCAAAAGGTACTATGAAACAACTATAATTAAAACAGTCTAGTTCTGGCACAGAAACAGACAAGGGATGTTTAGAGAAAATGGAGTCTAGAAATCGATGTAAGTACATACAGAGTTTTTTATCTGTTATATATGATATTTAATAATTACATAAAGGATACAATACTTAACAGTATCGGAAGAACTGATTATACATGTGGAAAAGTAAAATTAGATTCCAATATCATACCGTTCATATGGATAAACACTAAATGCATTACAATGTTATAGAAATACTTGAAGAAAAGAGAGAAAAAGTCTTTATAAATTTTGGAGTCAGGAATGTTTTCTTAATTAGAAATAAAAGCAGCTTGCCATGAAGTAAAAAGTCTGATGGAACTGATTTATAAGTTTAAAGAACAAACACATAAAAATTGTATACAGAAGAGAATGATATCTGAGGCCAGGCTCCATGCTAATAATTTTATAAGTGTCAACTCATTAACCTCTGAGTAAACATTACTTTTTTTTACAATTTATTGAGGAGAAAATAAAGGATTGGAATGTTTAAATAGCCTGCCCACACAAACAGCGCTAATAAGTGATGAAGTGGCAGTTTGTCTCTTGTGATTCTGGAGTCAGGGCTCTTAAACACAAGAAAAGGAACAAAATCAAGATAAAAATATATTTAGGCCCTGTATGCATTTGTAGTTAGATTTATTCTGTAAAGAAAAATTGGCATTTACATAGGATATACTTTAAAGAATATCTTGAGCTTTTATTTCTCATATATTCAATATAGTATTTTTAAACAATCTGAGGCCTCTTTATAATATTTTAAGATTATGTTTACTGCAATTTATTGGAATATATCTCACAGTTAAATAGAATATAACTTAGTTTCCTTGAGTGAACCAATATCCTCTTTGACAGGTAGTGTAAAACAAACCCTTTTTAGAAGAAGGCTTTTCCTCCACACATATTGGTCTATTTGATAAGTAGGAAGAATAAAAATGTCTAGTAATAGACCATTCCCATCCCTATTTCCTCCTATATACTAAACCTGAATAGTGCTTTCCAAACGCTTAACTCTGCATATTTTTACATTGAAACTATTACCTTCAATTTTGGTAGATTGCATTCTTCAAAACAGTAATACTAATAACAGAAAAAGATGACATGCAATTGTCCCTAAATCCATGCCAATCAATAATTCACCATTCACTTTAAGATGGATATTCTAATAAAAATATAAGGAATTCCTTTTTCTTTTTTCAAGGACTTTTTACAAGCTGGCCTGAAACAAACTTATTAACTTCATTTGCCATTATTCTTCATGATGTCACCTTAGATCGAGTCAAATTTCATTAATTTTATTTCTCACCTCAAAACCTTCACTCATTTTTATATCATACTCTGGAGGATCTTTTCCTCAAATCTCCTAAATTTTAAATGTGTCCTCTTTCAAGATGTTATCTAAGATTTGCCTTGTAATGAAATGTATCTCAATACTTTAGAATTGTTTTTTCTTCTTTTTAAGTTCCATAGCCTTTTATATGTCTTGTATCCCCCTTTGCATTGTAAATATCTTGTAAACTGGATCCCTGTCTAATTCAACTTTGTCTTCTTCAAAGCAATTAGCATGGTGCCTCATGCATAGTAGGTCTTTAATATATGTTTCTTTGATTAGTGAATTGATTAATTTTTCAGGGCTTCCATGACTTATTTTGCAAGCAATACATTATAAAATGGTCCTTACAATTTTCAAGTGAAATACAAAATTAAAAATATATTTTATCCCTTGATACTTTATTCTGTCCATCATATATCTATATGCATATGTTGATTCAGGGAAATCTCTAGGATTTCATACATGTGCATAAGTGTAAGAGAATATGTTTGTTCAGAGAGCAGAATGGACAGCATCAAGAAGGGTAAAGGCAGATGCAAGAACTCAGTGGATGTCAGGGAGTTCTCTACAGGAAACACCTGCAGCAGCATCCAAAAGTGCTCTGAAGGCTTGGAGTGGCTGTTCTGCTGAATAACTGAATATTCACAGAGCCAAGATTTATGACCTTGAGCACAGCAGATCTTTTCTGCTGAATGTGATATTATTCCAAGAGAAGTTAAATTATTCTTCCCAGTCGCCAAGAATACCTCAAAACCGCTTTGCCCTAAGAGATGCCTCAAATCTGCTAAGGCTGCCCACAGCACCAAGAGGCCACAGAATGCAGTGGAATTGCTGGGAAGAATAAAACTTTCCATTTTGTATAGAATTCTGATGTCTCTCGGTTGTATGCCAAATATAAAAAGAACTCTGACCTGAAGTAGGAAAGGCTGAAGGGCTTCTTCGGTGCCTTCCTTGAATCTGAGCTAGATGGAGAATGTTTCACTGAAGAGAATCCTATGTATTGCCAGAGCCAGGGACATTCAATCTTGACCCACCTGCCCACTCTTCCATTTTCTCTCATTCCAGCTTCCAAAGAGCCTGCTTTTTAATTAGTCCAACATGCAGCAGCAAATGAGGGAAATGGGGAAGAAATTATTTGTCATCAAATTGAAATACATGTAAAGAAAACACAAGCAAAAATGTATTAAAGCCTTTTATGAGGAGGCTTTTAGTCAACATTTGGCTTGGTTAAAACCTTGAGCCAAATGTTTATTAAGGCACAGCAGTAAAGGAAGCAAAAACCATTTTTTGTACCTTTTCTATTAGAAGAAGGAAAAGCAGCTTAGACGTTTAAAATTTCAGCCTGCAGTTTGCAAATGTGTCAACTTGTTAAAGAAAGATGAGCCTATCCAGGAAAAGCTACTGATGGATGGAGTGTCTACTTTTCTCTTAAACTGTTTCAGGACTAGCTCTTGTTCTTTGTCTTTATTTCTTTATCTACTTATTTTATCCCAAGACTTTCTTCCATGACCTTCTCTTTAGAATATAATATCGACAGTTGCCTTCTTTGAATGGTTACATAAGGTTTCACCAGAAATACTTAAAGCATATATATTTGTACAATGAGTTTTAGAGATAGGCTACGATCATAAATTTAGAAAAAATTGAAAACAACTGAATTTAGCTAATTAGGGATTTCTCTGTATCTGGGCAAATGTGATTGTCTAAGTCAGTCGCAAGATACAATCCTATATTACTCTCAGATGATATTTCCTTTGCAAAGGCAGTATGTAATATTGGCATAGTTATTTATTCTTCTGGGATTGCATATTCATTTGTGTGGTTTTACATAAATATTGGCCCTTACAAAGAAAGCTTGAGAGTTAAAATCAGATGCTTACAAAGGTCAGTCTGATAATGTAACATCTAAGCATATATTAATTGGGAAAGGGGAGGAAGAAATGCATTTAAGTGTTTCTCCTTTATAAGAGAAAATATGCCAGTTTCCTGATAAGTTACATAAGCAGTATGCAAATTTAAGGCAATATTATACATAGATCATATCTAAAGTATAATTTTAGTTTAAAGAACCATAAGGTTTTGTGATATTATTACACAAAGTTTATACAGTTATAGAGCCACAGATATTACACATTGAATGCCTAGGTCATATCTCTCTAAACTCTGCGTTTTTACCATTTCCACATATTAGAATCACCTGAGAAGCTTCTAAAACTCCCAGTGCCCAAGTCTTATGGTGATAATTAAAAGAGAACATTGAGGTGGGGTCTGGGGCCAAGGCATTGCTATTTTTTAATGCTCTTTAGTTGATATTGCTTTGATGTTAATTTGACAACTTATGAATACTAGACATTTTCTCACATCACCTTAGCCTGAGATGCCTGGTAATTGTTAGCATTTGCTAATAATTAACTTCTCGTCAAGATTGTGATGTGTATTTAATGTAATTTTTATTACAAAATGATATAGAGTCTATTCCTATTGTGGGAATTCTATCAAAATAAAATCCATTATCTGTTTTTAAGTAGGAATATTCGAACATTTGAGTCAAAGAATTTTATAATAATACATATGAAAAGAAACTGCAAAAAACAAAATTTGATGTTGAGAGGCTAACATAATTAGTGCAAATATGGTGAGGTAGTTGGGATGATTACTTCACTTTGATATTGTAACAGAAAAATGATAATATTGTTTGATTATATGAAAGTTATGAAGGTATAATTTTATATATTTTCTCAAGGAGTTATAAAATTAGGTATCTAGGATAGGGATCAAATTAGGATGGAATGTCATGATGAAAAAATAGACTGTCATGTATTTTACAGAATGAATATTTCCATCCTGAAACTGTAAAGATGTCCATTTAAATCTATCCAAAATGGCATTAAAAATGCAGAAAAGTGTCCGGGCATGGTGGCTTACACCTATAATCTTAGCACTTTGGGAGGCTGAGACAGGCAGATCACTTGAGGTCAGGCATTCGAGACCAGCCTGGCCAACATGGTAAGACCCTGTCTCTACTGAAAATACAAAAACTAGCTGGGCCTAGTGGTGGGAGTCTGTAATCCTAGCTACTTGGGAGCCTGAGGCAGGAGAATCGCTTGAACCCAGGAGGCGGAGATTGCAATGAGCTGAGATCATGCCACTGCACTCCAGCCTGGGTGACAGAGCAAGAATCTGTCTCAAAAAAAAAAAAAAAAGAAAGAAAGAAAGAAAGAAAAAAATGATAAATGCATAAAAGTGTGATAGAAAGAACACAGGATATAGGGTCATAAAGCCAAATTCTAGTCCAATGCATTCATAAGCTGAGTGGTCTTTGCCAAGTCTATTAACTTCCCTGGACCTTCATTTTTTTAATGTATAAAATGGAAAGGTTGAATAACGTTTGTGTTTTCCAAAGTTTGGATGGTGAACCATTGGTGGATTATGAAATCAATTTAGAAGAATTTCTATTCCTATCACAAGTAGAAGAGTGTATTGAGGGTAGAAAGCTGAGGTATTGTATATGTGTCCTGGGTAACTGGGAAGAAATTTTTCAAAGCCCTTGAATGGAAGATCTCTTTAACTTGTATAGTTTTGTGAATTGTTGGTAGGGAAGGCATATCATATGGTTAATGGTGGAGGAGACAACTTATTTCAAGCATGGGCTATAAAATATATCAAATATTTTTGCCATATACTGTCAAGGAAAATGATCTTTAAAAGGAGAAATAATTTGTTTTAATATGGTATTTGGTTTACCCACAAGTAGAAAAGAAAACAACAACAAAAAAAGCAATTGGAGCCTGTGAATGTGGAATGCGTCCTATCCATGAGACCAGAGAACGCTCACTCTGAGAAGTGAATGGAAGTATTGTGAATTATAACTACATATTCAAGAGGTAGTGTTATTCAGTTTGGCCAGAATGTTCTCTAACCAATGAAATTGCTTCCAAACTAAGTAGTGACAATGTGCTCTGCTTTTTGATTGCTTCTCTTATAATGTGTCTATTTTATTGTGTATTTTGTGCTATTTGTTGGGATGTGAATTATTTTCATGGAGAATAAGGTGAGAGAAGGCCCATTTCTTTAACAAAAATTAAAAGCAAAAACTGCAAAACATTGAGTTTTAAAATAAACTGGTCATTGGAACTAACTAGAAACTAAAAAAATAATAATATGTTAGCAAGAGATCCACCCCAATATTGTTAAAGTGGAAGTGGGTAGGGTTCCTGGAAATATACTCTTGTAGAAAGTTTTCCAGGTGATTCTGATGATCATCTCTGTTTTGAGTCAACTGATCTAGAGACCCAGTTTTTCATCCCAACTTCGCCTGTGCACCAGAGAAAGTCTCGTAAATGTTATGGATCTCCCTCTTCCAACTATAAAGTTTATAATTCTGTGTTTAGCTTAGATCTCTGATAAAGATGCACAATTGAAATAAAGCTTGTCACAATTCAGCTGAAATTCATTATTTACCTTGGATCCTAAGATCTAAATTTATGTCAAAGGTAAAACTAAAAAAGAGATGGTAATAATTTCATCATCCTAGGAAAATTTTTTTTTTTAAATACTAGATCTAAATACTAACTTGTGGACCATACCAGGTGTTAATGAATGATTAGGCTGTCCCCTCACAGCCATTCTCTGGCATGTCCCTGCTTTATAATCTTGTCCCCTCATCCCTATTCCAGCCACAAAGACTGATCTGGGAATTGGCTTCTAACACAAGTAGAGCTATCCAAGTTTTCTGATTTGGGGAATTCAGAACCTGAAAAGAATTACCTCAAGTTCACTGGAGCTCAATTATATGAGTGGTGCAAACCTAGAGGAGACCAGGAACTGTGAGTTCAAGAGTTTGGGTTTACCCAGAGTATCTTCCTCTCCAAGAATTCGTGGTTTAGCAATTCCTTCTATTCTGTGAGTTACCTCAAGTCTTTCTCATAAATTCTGTGTGTTTGCACTTAATCTGTAACTCTGTTGAACTTGGGACGGGAATAAAACCCTAAGGAGTCTGTCTTATTTAATGAAATAACTTATCTCCTATGCATCTGGAATGATGCTGGTTTTATACTACCCTTCAGATACTTGAGAAAACAGTACTCAAACCAGATAGGGAATCTGGGATGAAAAATACTGAGCTAGAGAATGTTGATTAATGATGTTTTCAATACAGGTATGATAGATGGGGTAACGGGAAGTTATGGAAGACCCAGTATATAATTAATAAGAACAGTTTCATAATTTATATTAAAGATCTTAATTTTTTAAAAATCTGAAAATGCAGCATAACAGAATATCTATGTTCATTATATTGAAATAAAGTCAGACTCAGCTACATTTACTGCTCTTGGACATATAGCACCAACCATAAAGTGAGGAATTGAACCTAGGGCTCCTAATTTCAAATTATGGGCTCTATCCATGGAGCCCATAGGGAAACACTAGTCAGTATTGATTGATCCTTCTATACTTTTATTGGATAAATATGTATAATCTCAAATTAAGACTTATAGTATATAATATTAGCTTTCTTTTAAAATATTTTATTTTCTATGCGTATATTTGCAATTATATGAAGAAGTACTTTAAATTTGGGGACAAATAATCAAACACAATCTGTAACACTAGCAAATCCATTGAAGGTATTGTTTTCTGGGTTGTGGAAGAAAGGTGATTAGGAATAGGAAATTTACATCTAGTAGGTTGTGAATACCAGGCCTTTCCATATTCCTTTGTCTTTCTGAATTTGTAAGTCCTCACAGAATAATAGGAGAGCTAGCTCTAGAAGCACAAAGAGGTAGGGGTTGCTATGGGAAGTTCCTTTTAAAAGCAGCAGCCATCAGAAATCTTTAAAGACATTTTAACTCTAGCATGTTGCCTGATTTTGACAGCAGGAGAGCAATTGAGTTTGGCACAGAATTGGGCTTCAATAAATGTTTATTGAATGAATCAGTGAAACAGTGGCTCAATAAATCGAGAATGTTATAGAACCATAGAGTTTTAGAATGGAAAGAAACATTGGAGATCACTTAGTCTGACTGTGTCACTTTGCCAGGAGGGAAAATGAGGCCCAGTGAGGCTAAGTAGGGTGGTAAAGGGCAGAGCTGAAAAGTGTCCAAGAAGAAACCAGTGTTTCACTCTCGTAATTCTTAGCCTGATGCGTTTCCCTGAGCAAATAAAAAAATAAATAAATAGCAAATATTTTATAAAATTATTTTGTAAGTTACTCAGGCACAAACTTGTTTAAAAGAATAAACCATCAATAGAAACATGTATTTTTTTTCTATTTACAATACTTCAATCTCGTTCTTATGTAATGAGCCTTAATTAACCAAGTGCTCCTAGAATGAGGGTGTTGGGCATCGTGATATTCTGGGCAATAAAACATTTGGTAAAAAGCTGATTTTTTAAAATTGCTGAGTAGTGATTTTAAATGTAGTGGTTACTTTAATAATAATGATCATAATATCTAACATTAATTGATTGTCCACCATATGTTGAATGGAAATTTTTCTCATAGAATTGTTGATTAGAACCTTCTGAAAGAAAAGAATTTAAGTAGCCTTCATTGTAAATGGAACCTCCCTAAACTGGCCAGTTAACCTTCCTCAGCATTTACTACAGGACCGAAAGACTGACCCTTCAACTACTTCTAACTCCCCACTTCCCACCTCCCTTATCTACCTAAGCAGTGACGGATAGGTCAGCACAGAGTCTTTAAGGCATAGGCTCTGTAAAACATATTGTTAATGAAGAGGTTAGCTTTTTTTACCAAAAGTAATTGAGGGAAGAAACTATAGAATCACATGTAGAGCCTGTGTATGCTGGGAAAGAAATGAAAGCTGGTGTTCTGCATTCCCAATGCATGACTTTGTATGCATCAGACTTGCTGGCCTGCCCTATGCCTTTCTGAGGAGGGAAGAAGAGGACTGGCAGGGTAGAAAGAGGGGACAAGAAGAATTTAATCTGGCTCGGCGCAGTGGCTCACGCCTGTAATCCCAGCACATTGGGAGGCCGAGGCGGGCAGATCACAAGGTCGGGAGCTCAGGAGATCGAGACCATCCTGGCTAACATGGTGAAACCCCGTCTCTACTAAAAATACAGAAAAAAAAAAAAAAAGCTAGGCATGGTGGCGGGCACCTGTAATCCCAGCTACTTGGGAGGCTGAGGCAGGAGAATGGCGTGAACCCGGGAGGTGGAGGTTGCAGTGAGCTGAGATCGCGCCACTGCACTCCAGCCTGGGTGACAGAGCGAGACTCTATCAAAAAAAAAAAAGAAGAATTTAATCTGTACCAGCAACATTCGGTGCAGCCAGAATGCCCACAGGCATCAGTAAAGGAGATATCCCTTTGAGTCTTTGGCTTGAGCCACCTAGCCGGTATTACTCACAAGAAGGCCACTAGCTGGGCCAGGGGATTAGAGCAGCCAGATGCTATGGGGTGTTGTGTGAAGGTTAGAGCTGGGAGATGAGCTGGGGGATGAGACAGATGAATTTCTCTCATGTTGTTGACTGCTGTTGGGAAGTCACATGGAGCACTCATGAGTCTACTGCATGAAGGGCAGCAGAGGTCAGTAAGGGTGAACCAGAGAAGCAGGTACAGCCCACAGAAAGAGGACTATATGAATAACCACTGCTCTTTTCTCTTCCCCTCATCAGCTCCTTCCCAATAAACTGGAAGGGCCAGGTCTTGAGGGGGCGGTGATGGTAAGACACCTAGAGGCATACTACATCTTCCTCCTCCACTTCAACTAAAAATGATGACATGATTAACTTATAAATTAGCCCAAACTTTTAAAAACCAAAAGTGACCACAAATTCAGTGATTCTGCCCAAGATATTAAGAGATGGGGAAAAGAAGTAACTTAATGGTTAAAAGCAGTAGATGAAGAAATATAACATATATACATAAATATTCTGTTTATATTCCACAAATATATCCCATGGATTGACAGTCTTTAAAAAGCTTATTATGCATATATTGTTTAATCCTTACAACTACCCTATAAAATAGATCCTAGTATTATTGTCTTCATTTACTGACAAGAAAACTAAGACTTTAAGGTGATTATTTACCCAACTGCTCATGTGAGTGGGATTTGAACCCAGATATGTATAATTTCATAGCCCGTACTCCTATGTTCTATAACTTCATAAATGTTGGACTCACTGCTGTCACTTCCATGCCTACGCAGAGTTTATTTTCCACACAATAGACAGAGTTATATTTTTGAGATGTAAATCAAACCATGTCATTCCCCTAACTATAAAACTCTAGTAGCTTCCCATTGTGCATCGAATAAAATCAAAGAGTTTGCCCAAAATTTAGAAGGACTTACATGACATAGCCCCATCCCACAGCTCTGATTTCATTGTATTCCCACATTGCCCCAGTGTCACTGTGCTCAATGCTCACTGGATTTTTTCCTATTCTTTCTATTCTTTGTCCAGATCTTCCCACAAGTGGTTCCTCAGCATTAAGATCTCAATTTAATCATCATTGTCTCATAAAGCTTCCCCAATCATCTAAAACAACTTCCCTGCTCAGTTATTGCACACCCTCATTGCACTCTTTTGCTTGCTCAGTTTCACATATAACTCACTTATACTTGACTCACTTATGGTTATCTCTCCATCACTGGTTTGATGAGAGTGGAGACCCTGAGAGCCTTATTTACTGTTGTATTTCTAATATCTAGAATAGGGGATTTGCATGTGTTAAACCTTTGGATTCTATGCTCTTTCTGTGTTGAAATCAAAGATATGCCATAGGTTTTCAGTGTTCCTTCTCTTGTGCTCCTACTGTGAAGAATGGTATGCAACAATTCAAGTGTTCTTATTTTATACTGATTTTAGTGTATACTGACCTACTTCTTTGCATTATTTTAATAACAAAGTAGCATTCCATCTGAAAAAAAAAACAAAACAAAATAAACCAAAAAGCCTTGGTCAAGCCTTCTATGAAGCACACGAATGGATGGAGTTACAAAAGTACATTTCTTCCCATCCAGCATGATTTCTCATTACACTTATCACATATTTATTACCCTCTCCTCTACTTAATGTGCTGGGGATATCAAGATAATTTTAGTTTTTTTTCTTTCTTTTAAAAAACTGTCATTCTTTTTTAAAACATAGGATACTTTGAGTTAGCAGTATATATTTCTTGCATTTCTAAGTGTTACTAACTTTAAAATGTTCCAAGTTCACTTGACTATAGTAAGTGGAAATGTGACAGCCCAGGCCCATTTGTTTTCATTGAATCAGTTTACATCCAGAATGCATGATAGTTTTCAGTTGCAGCAGTGTATGAACAAAGACATTTCTAGGGAGAACCGTAAATGCAGTTGCATGAAACTTGTTAAGTATATTCACCAATAATGATGACTTGTTAGAATATACCAGGAGTTATACACCCTTTACATTTATCCAGAAGAGTGGCACTAAGTTTACAAACCCACAGAGAATTTTATTGTAATATTGCCTAAAGGTGAAACATGTTGAGAATAAAAATTGAGAGATTGCTTCCAATGATTTAAAGCCTGGACTCTCTGCTGGAGTACATATTAAATAGATATTGATACATCTACACACTGATCAGAGCTCTCTGATTCTTTCGCCCGCCACCCAGCCCCGGGCTTTTTATTTCCAATGAAAAGATGCAAAATAATTCATCTGGATGTTAATTCCTTAAGAACAGTGCCATGATATCAATATATATTTTGCCTTTAATACTTATTTCAGATACAAGAGACACAAAATTGTCTTTATAATTCTTAAAAGATGTTCTAAATTGCAGCACTATAAGAATCCATTCATAACAAGACTCTCACACTTTAATGTACACTAGAATCACCTTGGGGATCGGGTTACAATACAGAGTTTGCACCAGTAAGTTGGGGTCGAGGGGGCCTTGAAATTCTAAATTTCTCACAAGCTCCAAGTAATGCTGATGATACTGTCCTTCAAACCACAGTTCGAGAAGGAGGTATAGAGATCATTATTTTGTTAAAGCAATTTCACTTTCACCAACTCTTTCTTCTTCCCTGTGAAAATTCTCCTTTCCTCTGCTCTTGCCTTCCAAGATGCTATCATCTGTGTATATTAAAAAAATACATTCTATAATTTAGAACAGCTTACAAGATGGCCACAATATTTGCATAAATTAAATTATAGATTTTTAGAGTTACAGACCACCCCAGTCTGATTCTAGGGAGAAAGAAGCAATTGGCTATTCTTTGGGGTTTGGTTAAATAGATAAATTGCTCAGAATATATTGCCTTGACCAAGTCGGTAATAAGATGATTTCATAGTTAAATTTATTTACTTCATATCCATTTCATAAATGAGGACTGTTTATAAATACAAAATACCTATACATCTCCTTGAATATAATAACATTATTATAATTTACTTATTTATTAAGTAATCATTAATTGGCACCCAGAAATTTTCAAATTTCTTGCAGAGAATCTTTATAAAGTCCATATTCATGAAGCTACTTTTAATTTTGATTGTGTTAATGATTTTCTTCAGGTTAAAAGATACAGCATCTAGTTCTTATAGATTACATTGTAGGTACTTGAATCTGAGTCAGTCCCAGAAATTGAAATGTTGCACACCTAATGAATTCCAGGATCATTTGTTCATTCCTTTCCCTGTGTGTCTCATTTTATATGTAGAACTGACTAGTCAGTCCAGCCAGACACAGAATGGCCTGTTTGGTTCTCAGCACCTTTGGTTATTTTAACAAATGCAAATCAATTGCACAATAAGATTGGAAAATTATCGTACTAGAGTTTTGGAACATGTCCTATTTTCTTTTGCAGAAATATCCTCAAATTTAAGCTGCATTTAGTTTTTGGTAATGAATTAGAAGCTCATTTTATGGCAATATCTAGAAATTAGGAAGAACCTGAGACTGTTATCAAGAGGGCAAGGATTATATTCTGACTTTTCCTCAGTTAGTTATGTGACCATAGTTTTGTCTGTTGGGCCCTGACACTGTTCATCTAATAAATGAAGGCACTGGACTAAATAATGTCTAAGTCTAACTTACCTTTCATATTTAGTGACTTCAAGTGTATCATCAAGAGTCCTGGGTCTCCTTTTGAATTATTTGATAGAAGCTTGGCAATTTATTTCTGGATTGGTCTCGAGGTTTACCTAAGTGAGATAAGTCTTGAAGAGTGAATATTTTATAAATCTTGATTACTCGCTGCAGAACAAGAGAAGTTAGACTCAGAATTTACATATGTTGAAAAATAGTTGGTAATTTTAGAATATTTTACAACATATATTACGTAGAAAATCTAATGAGTGAACTACTCTCCCTTGAAAGTAATGTGATTTTTACTTGTAATAATCAATTTATTGTTTTAATTTCTCAGTTACACAGTTCGTGGCAAATAAGATAATAGTAAATTTCTTAAGGACTGAGGATTTAATTTGATATGAATTTCAATAAGCAGACATTCCTTTTCTGCTTTTCTAAAGTTGTTTTATCTTATAGCAGAGACAGCCTGGCTTATTTGTTTTAATAATGCAGACTTCTAATGTGTACATCTGCTTGGTCAAGGATGTTTTTGGCACAATATTTTTGTGTATTTGACTTCTAGAATAGAAAAATAAATGAAGCAGGGCTCTCACCCAAATATCTTTTTTCATTCATTTGTTTTTTCATATATTGATTTTAGTTTCTGGTTTATGTTGAACATAATCTTTGAATCATATAACTATAGTAAAACCTTCCAACCTGTGTGATTTGGGATTATATGTATGAAAAGCAATATAATCAAGAATAATAATATTGGCTAGTTTTTTGGCATACAAAAATGACTTGACATTCTTCATGTAACTGGGGACAGTGGGACTTCGTTCTGCCCGCAGGCATCCTTGTCTTTAAGATGTACGGTAATTTCCTTGCAGATTATTTATTTGGTGAAGAAGTTCAGTGAAGTTAGAAGATACAGAGGCATTGGGTCAAATTAATGAGATTATATTCTATGCACTGGTAATGCAAAGGAGCATTGTCCTGAGAATCAATTTTTGTGTGAACTTAGGAAGTCATTTAACCTATCTTTGTTTAACATTTTTTTTCCCGTAAAGTAGAAATCAGTGATTCTTGGTGTTGAAACCAATCCATTTGTTCAATCTACCATCTAAGGATTGAACACCTTCTACAACATCCAATGAAGTGGTTCAGTAATGGTTAACTTTTTTTTCTATAAGAAGTTTGTTTTTATATCAAAAAAATCTTAAAGTTGAGCTTACTCTCAGAAAATTAGATGAGCAAGAACTGTGAATTTTCTTCTAAGTTATAGTGTGTCGGATATGGAATGGGACTGAAATCCCATGGCAGACTCTTAAATATTTTCCTCCAACTGTGTGGCAACATAAAATCAATTGTTGTAGACTATTGGAAAGATGCTTCAAATTTTTAAATATTACTTTTTCCCAATTTTATCATAACATTGCTGTGGCTAGAAATAGAGGCTCTTTTCATCTTGAATCAATCCATTAATCAACACATTTAAGATATGGATCTTCAAACAATTACTACCAAGCAGCGTATATATATATTTTTTAAATCTTGAGAGATTACTCTTAAGAGCAAATGGTAATTAAAGGATATTAATATTCATTGAAAAGTTTTAAAAAGTGACAATTGAAATTATTACTATTGGCTTTATTTTAGCTTTTACTATTAATAGTAGCATTAATAGGAATAGTGTCTTCTCATATCATCTTATTAATCAGGAAGAAAATACTTCATCAGACAAATTCATTTTATGCTTAATCATCCAGATTATTCAAACATTTTATTGAAATATAGTATTTATGCTGATAAATGTAGCATAAATGTCCAGGTAAATTAATTTTTCACACGCTTAGCACACCCATAGGCAACCCTTAAATCAAGAACAACATTAATTGTACCCCAAGAGTTCTCCTCACTACTATCCCCTCTCCATCTCTACCAAGCATAGCCACTGTCTTGATTTACAACAACAGAGGCTAGTTATGCATGTTTTTAAATTTTTTATATAAATGGAATCAGAACTATGTTCTCTTTTGTGTCAGGCATTTTTTTTAGCTAAACATTATTATTGTGAGATTTATCTGTATTTCTGTTGCAGTTGCAGCTCATAGATTCACATTGTTATTTAATATTCTATTGTGTGACTATACTGAAATTTATCCATTCTATTATTGGTTGTTATTTCAGTAGTGTTAAGTTTTAGATAATTTATGCAGGGTAACACTGTAAACATTCTAGTATGCTATTCTGATGATATGTGTATTTTTTGTTGGATATATGCTTATGAGTGGAATTGGTGGATCATAGGGTAGGCCCAAGTTCAGCTTTAAAAGAGAATGCCAAACAATTTCACAAAATAGTTCCTACCAATAATGTATGAGAGTTCTAGTTGCCCCACATCCTCACTGACACTGGATTTTTTTGTATTTTTCATTTTATTCATTCTGTGGAGTGTGCTGTTATTTCATTATGGTTTACTTTGCATTTCTTTGAAGATAGCCTTTTATACTTTAATGTCTGTTCAACTACTTTATCATTTTTTTCCCATTGGCTTGTGTTGCGTTTTTGTTTTTTGTTGTTGTTGTTATTGATTTGTAAGAGGTCTCTTTGTATCCTAGATATAAGTATTTATTGACATTTACGTGGCTTTGGGTCTAATTTCTTTTTCATTTTCGTTGTTTTAGCACATAGTAGAAATGCAAAAGTTATTTGGGACTTGTATTTAAAAATGGACGTAGACTTATTCTTTAAGTGTTCAGCAGAAACACATATGTAAACACTCTGCTGCTTAGTATTTGTTTATAGAATAGCACAAAGCTTACTTACAAAGATTGTAAGGTAGCAAATGATTAGATGAAACATAATATTCTTATATATTGTGAAAAAGTGATTTTTGTATTTTCATGTAGTATATATGTTCTTTCATGAAAAAGAACATAGGAAGAAATATTTTCCCTGCTTAGATTTATGTCCCATTTATGGCATTTTAAGGTAATTGCATATTCCACAGACTGAATTTTTTCCAAAACTATGTGGTTGCCTTTAATGTAAATTTGAATTACTTAAATTTGGAATTAAACAATACAAAAGAAATGATATATTTTCATTTTTAAGTAAGGGGAATATCATAGTGTTAAAAATACATCAACACCCATATAACTTCAAAGTTTATTACATAGTGAATTGCAAACTGTTTATTATTTAACCCCTTGGGTATGCCACATTATCTGGCAAACAAAACCTTTGTTGAGATTTATTCTGAGTTATGCAGATTTGGAATGATACAAGATATCTTGGATAAAATTCTACAGCCTTCTTACTGGACCAAAACTCTTCAAGCTCCAAAACTTTATAATTTAGTTATCTAAGTGGAATCTTTCTTAATATATTACCTGCTCTTTTAAACTAAGTAGACTAAAACACAGTTATTATTTTCTTACTAAGACATATCTTCACAAACAGTTTTTTTTCTCTTTTTTTCTTTCTTTCACAATGCTATATATCACTTCTGTCTGACACACAGGTGTTGTGGCATGTTAGACAGTATCTGGATTAGTAGTCTGAATCCTAGTCCCACTTCTGTTACTGTCACATTTTATGAATTTGAGGGTCATATAAACTCCATGAGCCTCGCTTTCTTAATAATGTAAATTAATGGGTTGGGCTGCAGGATTGTCTTTAAGGCTCCTGCTGACTCAGAGATCTACTTATTCAGTGGGAATGTAAAATTTTGCAAATACCATATTCAGATAAGTGGATCTCTCGTGTGTGTGTGTGTGTGTGTGTCTGTGTCTGACAAAAGCTTTCATAGATTGCCTCTCTAAATTAAATCCTTCATCATGTAGAATTGATTCTGGGAAACAAAAGGATGTAAAGATCCAATTTCATTTTTCTCTTATAGATAACCAATAGTCCCAGCAACCTTTAGTGACCTCTGTATCTTTTGCTAACTTACCTGCAATGCCAGACAATATAAATTGTTTTCATATATAATTATTAGTATGCGCACACACACACACACACACACACACACACACACACACATACATGAACCAGAACCCACTTGACTACCTATCATCAAATGAGCAGAACAATAAGCAATGACAAATGAGTTGAAGGAATTGGCAAATGTTTAGTTAACTGATCCTGGTTAACTATTTTCTAAGGACTGAGACCCAAGTTCTTTGTAATATGTGAAATTCCCATGGGATTGCATAATGCCAAAAGAAACTTATTACAGTTGGTCAATTTTTATCTTATCAGCATCAGCAGTATATAAGAATGACTTTCGGTAGCCTTGGCAAAATGTGGAATTATTCTCTTTTCTTTTCGTTTTATGTCAATTTCATGGCTATGAAATGGTATCTGAATGTAGTTTGATTTTTACCATTTCCTGAATACTAATAGGAATGAATATCTGTTCATTATTCATAAGCAATACATATCTGTTTTTCCATGAAATTACATTTCTTTTGTGTGTGTTCTTCATTGGTTGTCTTTATTTTTGTATTGATTCGCTGAGGTGCTTGGCATATTCTGGATTATAATCCTTTGTTGATTAATAGGAAGTGAAAATATTTTCTCCAAAATTGTTATTTAACTTCTTACTCTATGGTATTATTGATGACCCAGCATTGTTAATTTTAATGTAGATGAGTGTATCAATATTTATTAGTGCCTTTATGCTAATTTTAGAAGTCCTTCCATTCTTCCATATCAAACTTTATTGTCTGACAAGTTTTCACAGATTGCCTCTCTAAATTAAATCGGGCATCCATGTAGAATTGATTTTTGTGAACAAAGGATGTAAAGATCCAATTTCACTTTTTTCTTATGAATAACTGATTGTCCCAGTAACCTTTATTGACTAATCTATCTTTTGCACACTTATCTGAAATGCTTGACAGTGTAAATTGTTTTCATATATGCTTAAGAATATTTTAAGTTTGATTATCGTTATTCTCCTCATTTTACCTATCCTAATGCATTTTCTTCAGCACTATAATTTTGTAATAAATGTCCATCTTTACGCAGGCAACTTACTTCATCTTCTTTCTCTGGCATATCATGGCTATTTGGGACTCTTTTTTTTTCTCATAGATTGTGAAGAATCAGCTTTTTACCTGTTTTTTTAAATTTTTTGAGATTTTGATTAGGATTTCATTGAATCTATGAATCTATTTACATATGTTGAAACATTGATTGTCTCTAGTACACAGAACTCTAAATTCTTTCCAAAGTCTCTTATTAAGCCAAATAATTTCTGTAGATTATTTTAGTGTTTCAATTTGTGCAATATATTTGCTTATATCACATGATTTTCTTCATTTATAATCTTTACAATGTTCATATACTTTTCTTGTCTTCCTGCATTAGCTACAATGTCAAGTGTAGCATTGAATATAAATGTTGACAGTGGGAATCCTTGTCCTGTTTTTTATCTTAAAGAGAAAATTCTAGATTTCATAATAACATACGATTTATGTTGTTTGTTTTAGATGATTTATCACATTTATCACATTAATTAGGCAAGCAGGAAGACATTGACTATTTATCACCAGCGTATCAACTTTACCAGATGTCTGCACAGACATTATCTCATTGTATCTTCACATTCATTCTGAAAGATTGGTATCTCTAACCATTTTCAGAAACCAAAATTTGAAAAGCAAATAATTGTTCTAGTGACAGCTAGTGGCCAACCTACAATCCAAACTCATATTTTGACCCACATTTTCCTCTCAGTATAATAGTAATATATAGTTGTACTTGTGCCCAATATTGAACCACTTGCCATGTTGGACTGACCAGGGGAGCAGACACCTGGACTATAACTTTCCGAGACAGGAATTAAGTCCATTGTGTTCACTTCATTATCTCTAATAACTGGTACTGGGCTTAACACTTGGGAGGTGCTCAGCCAATATTCTGAGCGTTTGAATGGGAGGGATTCACTATTACAGATTGGGAGGTCTTTCCTATGACTTACTCAGAATTATTTGGTCTGACTGATAGTCTTGGCTAATAATTTGCTAGTAGTCAATGACTAATATTCCAGGGCTCAATTCCTGGTGAATACCTGTAGGTGCTCACCGTGATATTTATTGCTATGGTTTGACTACCTGTAGCCACTGATGGCCATTTTCTACATCCAGGAAGGCAGATCATCTGGCACTGATGCGTTGAAAGCGATTTGAGCTCTGATTCCAGGACGTGAGTTATTTGACAATCAAATGAAAATAGTCCTGAGATTAAAAACCTATTACAGGGGAGAATGCAACACCTGCTGATGTATCAACCCTCTCGGGGGCATAATAGTGATAGTATGTCGCCAGTGGGACAGATTAAGTTTCTCCAGTACCGTTTATAATTATATGTTTATAGTTTATCAGAAGCTGATTCCCAACCATGCTGTCTCATTTTTCTTGGCACAGCATCATTACTGCCTAGAAAGTCAAGGGGTCTTATGGCTTACATTCTTCCTTTGGTTCAACTCACCTCATCAGTGGGAGAAGACTGTTCCTTCCAAATATCCACCTTTCTGTTTGATCTGTCTAGCATCTCGTGAGAGCCGCCTTGTTACTCCTAAATCTGGTAAAGAATAAGATACGTAGAAAATGTTGAGACTTCATTTACATGCTATCCCCATGACGATGTGCTAGAATTCTTACCAGTGTCATAACAGCCAGCCCTACCATCTGCTTAACTACACCAGGGAATAGATCAGTAATCCAGCTGACTCCATTAGACTTTCTATCACTACTCCCTCCATCCAGAGATAAAAAATGCACATGCTCTGTAGGAGGTCTGTTTACTCCCAGACCAGATTCTATCTTTTTTTCTTCCCTTTCTCCTTACCAGATAATTTTCTATGGTCTCTCAATGATAAAACTGTTTGTCTCTTCATTGAAAAAGATCTTTGAACATAAATGTTTCACTGAAAATTAAAATAATGCCTCAGTTGGATGGAGAGAATGTTGAAAACATCTTGGAATCCATTGTTGTCAGCAGAGTGGAACCATCCAATATGCATTTATGGTACCTGATTCATGCCCTGGAGATATCACAGAACTACTTTCTCTGATCAGAGCTCTTGCAGTGATACTGAAAAATTAATTGAATTTTCAAGAATGTCAGCTTTAGCTACTGCAGTTGATGGCCCAATAGTTGAGATTTATTAAAAACATACTGCCACCTAGTATTCCATGGTGTATATGTGCCACATTTTCTTAATCCAGTCTATCATTGTTGGACATTTGGGTTGGTTCCAAGTCTTTGCTATTGTGAATAGTGCGGCAATAAACATACGTGTGATGAAGCTGGAAACCATCATTCTCAGCAAACTATCTCAAGGACAAAAAACCAAACACCACATGTTCTCACTCATAGGTGGGAATTGAACAATGAGAACACATGAACACAGGAAGGGGAACATCACACACACCGGGGACTGTTGTGGGGTTGGGGGAGGGGAGAGGGATAGCATTAGGATGAGTTATGCTAAATGACGAGTTAATGGGTGCAGCACACCAACATGGCACATGTATACATATGTAACAAACCTGCACATTGTGCACATGTACCCTAAAACTTAAAGTATAATAATAATAAAATTTTTTAAAAAATACTGCCCTGTACAGTACTGTTTGACTGAGACAGAGTTCATGTCATGAAATCTAATTAAGCAGGTTAATTTGGGGAGTGATTAGCTATTGTTTCTGTTAAGACCTGCTGATTTGCATAGTGTATTTGTTTACTTATGTATGTATCATCTGTTTTCCTCTAGGAAAAGAAGAATATATTGCCACGTTCAAAGGATCTGAATACTTCTGCTACGACTTGTCTCAAAACCCCATTCAAAGCAGCAGTGATGAAATAACTCTGTCATTTAAAACCCTTCAGAGGAATGGACTGATGCTTCACACTGGGAAATCGGCTGATTATGTCAATCTTGCCCTGAAAAATGGAGCTGTCTCTCTGGTCATTAATTTGGGATCAGGGGCCTTTGAAGCACTAGTGGAGCCTGTGAATGGAAAGTTTAATGATAATGCCTGGCATGATGTGAAAGTCACCAGGAATCTGCGTCAGGTAACAGCGCAGTGGATAAGAGAGTAACTGGCTTTGTTTCTCGCTATAGCTGTGTGTGTGGTACTTAAATACTCTAACAACATGATACAGGGCTCCTCAGAGTCACTTGCAAATTAGCTTTTTCTTCTTCTGAGATGAATCTTCCTGCCATACTTGAGCAGGGGCATATCTAGAAAGTTCTGGGAGCCCAAAGGCTATTTTGATACAGGGCCATATGAAAATTTCCAAAAGGGCTGCAAGGATATCCCTGCGACCTGCCCTTCCTGTGATGTGTGTGATTTTGTTGTGTTTTTGGTTTTTTTGTTTGTTTAATTTTAAATTGTAGTTTTCATGGTGATCATTTGGAAGCATGCACATTGGGGTCATTAAGTCACAGTTCCTTTTTTGTAGTCGAAAAAATAGTGTTTGTGATTTGGGATTGTATCAGTCCCTACTCCCTCCTCCTCCCAACCCCAAAATGGGGACAAGAGAAGTCCCTGAGGGGAAAAATTTCTTTAGGGGCTTACATATCTCCTGAAGGGTCTGTTTTTGAAGATACTTTTATTTTTAGCATAGATGCTTTAAGTTAAACCCCAAATGACTCTGGAAAGGCCAGTTAATCTTCTAGGTGCCCATTTCTATTTAATTGTATTTTTTTAAAAAAACTTTTTCAAGATGCTATATACTAGGAAAATATCAACTATTTACTAAATCTGTGGGTCTACATATACTGTATGTTTTTAATGAATACGTGATTACAGTATATATACGAATGAAAATGAATAGATTGTCCTTTTATATTGAACATTATAAGTTTTGGGTATTATGTGAAACTTTATATTACAGTGTATCATTTTGTTAAGTGTTGACAGTGACTAATTTTATTGCCGTACATGCTGATCTTAAACTAATATCCTTAACATATTTGTTGTTTCTCTGAACAGTTGCAGAATGACCGGATTGTCTCTGGTTTTCCTTTACCAAAACAGCCCTCTCTTTCAGAGCTGTTAACTGTCTAACCTTTTCTTTCCTGTTCTGAAAGGTTTATACTATCTGAGCTAGAGAAAGAAAAAGGAGCTTTAGGAGTGTAGATTTAGTCTAGCTAAGGCAAACAAATAAAACTGAAAGATTCTTGAGAACCCCAGACCTTCCAGATCCCTCATTGACATGGGAGGGGCCCTGCATGCTTCCACCTGCCTTTGGAGAGGATTGGCCACCATCAGTATAACTGTAGACCATGGATTTCCTATAAGTCTGTCTCTTTGGTTTTCCTTTTTTAATTTTTTCTCTCAGATATGCACAAAGAAACCAGAGGCTCATTTGAGAGAAGCACAGAAGGAAGGGTGGGGGCTCAAGGAGTCCACTTTCTAGATTTGCCTTTGCTCAGGTTACAAACCAAACTGCGAATTGGTAGCTCAAAGGAAACTGTAGTTATACAGCCGGGGTGCATGTGTAGCAGGACAGATTAAACACAAATCCATTCTACTCATTCTATGTGTCAGGATCTTTGCTTTGTTTCATTGCAGTAAACTGTGACCCTAAAGTCCATCAATATGACCGAAGGAAGTTTTGAAGTTGAGGAGGAGTCCTTGTATGCTGTAAAATTGAGTAGTAGGGCAATGCCAACTGATTCCTACTAATTTCCTGGGGCTGGGGTGGGCCAGGGTGGAGGAGGGGTCAAGTATGGGCATAGGGCTGCAGTGGTCAGCTGAAACGCTTTAGGCCTTTGAATCCCTTTTAGACTTTTCCAATGTCTCTCAGATGTACTCAGGAAGACAAAGGGAACATTGTCATGTGTCTGTTTCTGTCTAGTAGCAAATTATGAACAATAATAGCAGGAAAAATATTACCTCTGTGGGAGGCCTACTTGTTAGTCTGCTTTTTTCTTGTAAAATTTTTTTGCCCTTTTTCTATGTTACTAACATGCTTAATAACTAACATGTCATTCATGGAATGTTTCATTCTACTAACCGTTACCTGAATCAAAAAATGTACTAACATGGTAGAGACCATCATATTTTTTAAGTAACGATCGTTATTCTGTTCACAGTTTTTAATTTCCTTTCTCCCCCCTTCTCCACAAAGCACTCAGGCATTGGACACGCTATGGTAAACAAACTACATTGTTCGGTAGATATCATTCTAATTGTTTCTTATTTTGGGTTTGCCGTGTGTTTTCTTTCTTTCTTTTAACTGTAGACATCATTAACAAAAGAGGAACTGCGGTTGGTACTCTTCTGCTTACTTTGACCTCCTTCTTTTCATCTGTTGTTGACCTTCTTATTTTTTACCTGTTCCTGTCAACTTCTGTTTTCCAACTCACCTGTAGGGGCATCGTTAACGTTTCGAACGTTTTGCATCCAGCTGTGGTTAACACGGGATAAGACAAAATGGTGGCTGGCCCGAGTGACCGCAGCTCAGCCAGTCTCTAACCATTCATGATGCATGGCATGGAAACTTGATTTGGGAATGCTGGAGATGCCACACCCACTCATCTTTACGTCATCACAAAGCAGTTGTTTTTATTTTTATGTTTTTCCTTTGGTTCTCCCTGTTTTCTTTCTTTCCTTTTCTGAACTGTACTGTACCTCCTGCATGTGCACATCAGCGTGTGCCGCTTCTACTGGTTGTTTTGCCTTTTCTCTCCCTTTGGCATGGACTTAGGCACTTGCATGCTGAACAATTGCTGCTCAATAGTGCAAATAGTGATGTTGCTGGAAATAGCTTGCGCCTTTTATGTTAACAAGGTGCACGTTGTGATTAGTTAATAACAGACAACTAAACCTTACTAATATGTACACCAGCAAAACTAACCTAGGAAGCATTTTACTAACACCATTTTTGTGTCTGCTCAATAACTTTTGAGTTGCAGTAGGGATGATGCTGACACTAGTTCAATAATCAGTTAACTCTCTAACTAGTTTAGATCTCTTAGGGCTAGTTGAATAGAATCTAAGAATAAACCTCAAACAGACATGAAAATGGGTTCCGTCATAGGTCTAAAAACAAAAACCAAACAAACAGAAAAAAAGAAAAAAGCAAAACAAAACAAAACAAAAAAACAAAAGCAAAACACAAAACAGGCATATCCCAGGATTACAGTATCTAGGTCTGAGTATAGCGTGTCCTTTCCCTGTGCTTTGTTATCTAGGTGACAATATCAGTGGATGGGATTCTTACCACAACGGGCTACACGCAAGAAGATTATACCATGCTGGGGTCTGATGACTTTTTCTATGTTGGAGGCAGTCCCAGCACAGCCGACCTTCCAGGGTCACCAGTCAGTAACAACTTTATGGGCTGTCTCAAAGAGGTAAATATCGTTGCCATCAGAATCATTCCTAATTCATGGTCTCATCATTTCAGATCCAGCATGAAAGCACCTTTGCTGAAGACCCGATGTTCCAGAGTCAAACGGCACAACTTTAAATTCAATATTCTACTATTGTTTATGTAGGATTGGGGGAGGGAAACAGCTCATAGATCATTATGAAGGAATTAGGTTCCTCTTCTTTATTAGTCTGTAAGTAATTTACATTTGAGATTTGTGTGGACAGTTGATATTAGCTATAAAAGAAAGTCAAACAAAAAGAGATACTGGGTCTAAAGTTGAGCTAAATGGTTTACTTGCTTATTTCTACTTAAATGCCATAGGTGTTATGCATACAGTGATGACTTTTTTGAGTATTAAAAGAAAAAAGAAGAAAAAGCAATTAGCCTATAGGAGAAGCAACGACTATGTAATTCAAAACAAAACTAAAACAAAATAAGTCTATATAATGACATAATTTTCTTCCCTTATTTTCAACACATTCTGGAGGAAGTAAATGTTATCTGGTGAATTTACTTGATATTTATCTGAGCAAGATCATCAAACTAAATGACATCAATAATTTCATCCCTCATTATCAGCTGTAGTTGTGTATTGTAACTTTGTATAAGATTGGAATTTGTTGGGTTTTGGGGAGAGAAAGATGAAGAAGTCCCTGAATTTCATTTTTTAATGAATATTTTCCATAAAAGCTGTCTTTAAAAAAATTCATTCAGACACAATCCAATTTCTTTGGGCTACTGGAACCAGAGGTTCCTCTTACATTGTATGCCTACAATTTAATGGTGTAGATTTCTAAACATCAAAGTTAAATAACTTTGAATTCACTGTTAGCCATAGGTGCTGTTGGTAAGCAGTGATGTACTTGGTTTATTCTGAAGTAAATAATTTAATCATATAAACTTGATTCAGTTAAGCATTAGGGAAAAACAATTACTACTGAATTATCCTTCCCTGTCTTCTCTTTATGTGAACATACTGGTTGATTTGTTGCCCAGTATGTGGATGTATATAGAATAATCCTAAGGGAGATTTAAAGGTGCAATAGTTTTAACAAACATGAAGAGGTGCAGTTCTGAAAGGCCAAACCTACCCATGCTTTGTAGTAGGAGTGATAGATTGCCTTTCAGAAAGTAACTTTTACTGGTTACAAATATGTAGTATGATCCAGGTTTGTGTTAAGCTCTGTAGAGGATGATAATCTAATTATTATTATTATTATTTATTATTATTATTATTATAGTACTAATATTTCCAGAGCTGTTATTTTGTGCTATTATAAGAGCTTTACAGGAATCCTCACAAAATAGGTAGACATTTTATTATCTGCATGTTTCAGACAAAGAAACTGAGGTTTGAGGCAGGTAAGTTTCTTGAGGAAGGTCACACAACTAACAAGTATGAAAGTCTAAATCTTAATCGAGGAAGTCTGATTTCAGTGTCCTTGTGCTCTTAACTACCATAGTTAAGAGCCCTTTTGCAAGAGAAATGTTTGTTAGAGTTCCTAAAAGATTGTACAAACTCTCAAATTTGTTACAAACTAAAACAATGTTTACAAATGAATAATAGACTGTGAGGAATGAATTATTAAATTATTTAACACAGTTATTTGATTTAAAAAGAGGGTGAGATGAGTGAGAGTTCTAGAAGACAAGGAGAGAAACACAGAAGAGTCAGAATATGAGCATCTCAAACAGTGACTAATTTAGACAGGCAGGGATGGAGAAAGCATATCAGGTATGGTAAAAGAATAATTAGATATTTTTAGAAGATTTCTGAAACTCCATTCTAGGGATGGAAAGTGGAGGGCAGAGCCGCATCCCCAATCACCTGTACCAACTTCCTCATTTTCACTGTGAGCCAGGCCAGGTATAATCAGTCCCTACATCCTGCTTTATACAGAGAAGAGTAATCCTGCTTAGATTGGAAAAAGGAAGGGGAATCGAGGGAACTCTAGCAGAAATGGGAATCTAACTAAAGAACTCTTGGGCATCCAAATAATAATAATAGTAATTCCTGCAGGGAATCCTTGAGTTCAGCTGAGACACATAATCTTCTGATAATTCTGCATAAGTGAGGCAGTTTTTTTCTGTGTGTGTATAAAACTGTAGTTAATTGCCTTAATCTAAAATAACAGTTTCAAATTAAACCGTGCTTCAGATTAACACCTCTAATTTATGAATTGATAAATAAAGATTCCTTACCTTAGTATTCATTTTTTTTTATATTGGCCTTTTAACCAGAAAAACCACAATACCAAAAAATAAGTTAGGTGGTCTTCCAAGTGACATGTTAGTTCACAGTGGCTAAACTCATAAAAGGAGGATTCACTTGTGCTGTTGTCACTATAGGGTTTGGATACAATTCACTCTTCTTTATTGATTGGACACTTTCCAACTCTGTCTTCCCCATCTGGGGTGTGTGTCTGAGGAAGCACGGTCACTTTTTTCTTGACTTGTGTAATCTTTTTCATTTTACTTCTTCTGATGCACTGGAGTTTGGAAGGATATCAGCACAATTAATCTATAAATCAAAACATACCTCACTTGGAGGGCTTTTTTTTTTTTTAAGAGATGGAGTCTTGCTCTGTTCCCCAGGGGAGTGTAGTGGCATGATCTCAGCTCTCTGCAACCTCCACCTCCTGGGTTCAAGCAATTCTCCTGCCTTAGCTTCCCAAGTTAGCTGGGACTACAGGCATGCACCACCACACCCAGCTAATTTTTGTATTTATAGTAGTGACGGGTTTCACTCTATGTTGGCCAGGGTGGTCTTGAACTACTGACCTCAAGTGATCTGCCCGCCTTGGCCTCCCAACGTGCTGGGTGTCGTGGTTCATGCCTGTAATCCCAGCACTTTGGAGGGCTTTTTAGTTGTTGATAGTTTCCATCCTGTCTGAACCATTATCTATTTAGAAGGCCCTGCTCTTGTTACTTCTGAAATGAAATAGTGACAAAGTATCATGGATTGTGAGTTAAATCACCCTACTTCAAATAGGTCAGCTTTGTGAAGTTACTGAAAAGAGAGGGATATACCCATGTTCATTCTCACAGAATCTCTCTTAACAGTAAAATCTATGTAAATTTTCCTGAACTCTAGCTTGGACTTCCTGGTCGATAGCACACTGCATGTGTAAACCCTTAATTATGACTTCATTTATTGGCTGATGGCATTTTTATTTTCAGTCTAGTATGTAGTGCCTCTTAGCATAACCAGTCTTGAAGGAGATTCTAATAACACCTTGTCTGAAGTCATGGAAGAAATTTTGGAGTGTTAGAATGGAAAGGATCCTGGAAATCATTTTCTAAGTTCAACTTTCTTCCTTTGGGGAAACAGACCTAGAGAAGTTACTTGACCAAGAGTAATAAGGGGGTCCAGCAGGATTAGAATACAGAACCCTATCAAGGAAAATATAATATTTAAATGGCCGATTCTATTTCATTGTAAACAATGGCATTCAAGGCATAAAAATATCACTCTCACGAATTTACACATTTATTCTTTACAGATTAAAGAAAAAAAAGGAAATCACTCAACATATTGAAACAACCTATAATCTCATATTCCTTAGAAGCAACTTAGGTCTTTCCCTATATGGCATTTAATAATGTCTATTTGAAATGAGACTTTGCTTGCACGTAGAACAACTAACCCTCAATTGGAAAGTTACTTTTGTGTATGTGATTATCAAATTTCAAAATAAAATAAGATTAGCTCAAAATAATTTGGTAAAACCTAACCTGAACTTCATATGGTGCTTTGTTTAAAATGACAAGGAACTTTGAATGGCCGGGAATTCAAATAGAGATCAAAGTAGTTTTTTTTAAATAATTCATATTTTCATCACAAGTAAATCAAAGTCTGGGAAAATATCTGTACTCATTGAAAAATGACTCACAGGTTTAAATTTGAAAAAAAAGAGTTAAAGAAAAATTATAAATAATAAATTGCCATTATATGCAGCCCATACCTATGAAATTCTTAGAAGATAATAGGTCTTTAAAAAAATATGCTTTCTAAATCTGATTTTTGCAAAGGCAACACTGTTTTGACAGAAATACTTGTTTATATTATTTGCATTTTGATAACACTGAGTAAGAGCTGAAATATATGTTGCTTAAGAATTTTCGATCATTTTATATTTAATTAAATTTTCTAACAAGCAGTTTTTGAGTGACTGCTACAAAAGGAGAGGAGGTTAGAAAATCTTGCAGAAAGAGAAATCATGGTGTCTGAGATGCTCAGACTCTATGAGGACATCTTGCCCATTTACCTTAGACCACTTGGAAAGCATTTTCCTGTAGAAAAGTCTTACAGTTAATTCTTCAGGTGCTCACTAGATATATTTTAAGAATCTTTAAAGATAGATGAAAATCTCACTAGTATGTGTTTCTATCCCAATATTTTCATCGTATAAGTGTTTCTGTAGTCACTGACCTATCAGGAAGGGTCATGGCGCTCCCTCATTAATCTCCCCCTCAGAACCTGTTCCTGCAATTATTATGCATTTCCTGGTCTCTTTGTGCCCCCGAAATGCTCTGAAATGCTTATTTCCCTCCTGCAGAGTGAACATTATTTAACGTAGTTTGTTAGTAAGGAAATGAAACTGAAGAGGTAGGAAAGGACTGTGTGTTAAATAAAACAACCTAGAATCCTTTATTTGAAGTTTGTTTTTAGTCATATGTACCTGCTGGAGGTTTTACAATCAGAGTGGAGACACTGCCTGTGTGAGGTAACTTAGAATGCTGCCACTAAAAATTGCTCAGATTAAGCCTAAGGAAGTATTCTAGAGAGAGAGAAAAAAAATGAGTGAAATGCTAAGGGGAATGAAGTCCCACTGAAAATTTCATCAACCTAATTAGATCGGCTCAGCCTTTAATTACACTTAGAAACATTTATTGCCACAAATCTGGAAGATGCTACTGAGGTAGATGAGGTTTGGAAAATATCCTATCTTTTGTAAGCATTTTCCCTCACCTTATTGGTGAAAATGCTTGATTCCTTTCCTTGAGGAAAAAATGATTGATTCCTTAATGAAATCTGTGTGATCTCCTCTGCCATATGAAGTGCCCACATCACAGTGTACCAGCATCAACACTGGGAAAGAGATGAAATATTTCCTTCCTGCAAATGCCCCTTAATCCCTATCTTTCTTCTTTTGGACAACAGAGAAAGTTTTAGAAAGTTTTGAAGGCTTCTCAATTTATGCACTTCTGTGGTTGACCATCCTCATCAAATTTGGTTCCTCAAGTTTTTTTTTTTTTTTTTTTTTTGAATGGCTGATATTAGTTTAATAGGTTAATCTACTTCTACTTCCAAAAGGGGATATTCTGTTTTTTTTTTATTTTATATATATATATATATATTTTTATTATACTTTAAGTTCTAGGGTACGTGTGTACAACGTGCAGGTTTGTTACATATGTATACATGTGTCATGTTGGTGTGCTGCACCCATTAACTCGTCATTTACATTAGGTATATCTCCTAATGCTATCCCTCCCCGCTCCTCCCCTTTTTTGCTTATTTTCCTGTTTGCTCAGAGAGGAATAGAGTATCTGTCATTTACACGTAAGAACAAAATCTCATGGCAGAATTTGCATTCCAATTTATTCCAATTTTGGGATAAAAGGCTTTGGACCTGATGGATAAATTAACCTAGCAGGAACTTGGAGGAAAAAGAGATCTTCAGTGATGTCTGGAAATCATGCCAGATGAGAGGAGGGAGGGCTACTTTAGTTGGCAGAGAACTCACATGGATTCCAAAGTCATGATTAAACAATTTATCCCCAGGTTTTCATTTCCTCTAGACTTTTCCTTGTTGAGGTCCCTGACTTATTGCCTCTCTTCTCTTATTATTTTGTCATGGTCCATATACTGGTTGGTACCATTTTACAATTTACTTACATTGACCTTCCCATATGCCTCATCCCTCACTCTTTCGGGAAGACAGTTGCTTTTTGCTTTCCCACTTCACTTTTTCCTAAACATTTTCCATACAGATCCACATATTTTTACTTACCATATCATTATAGAACTATGGATAATACTACCTTGATTTTATGTGGTGATACATCTTCACTTATATGAACCCAGGCTGGAGTGCAGTGGCATGATCTTGGCTTACTGCAAGCTCCGCCACCTGGGTTCACGCCATTCTCCTGCCTCAGCCTCCCGAGTAGCTGGGACTACAAGTGCCCGTCACCATGCCCGGGTAATTTTTTGTATTTTTAGTAGAGACAGGGTTTCACCATGTTAGCCAGTATGGTCTGGATGTCCTGACCTTGTGATCCACCCACCTGGGCCTCCCAAAGTGCTGGGATTACAGGCGTGAGCCACCACACCTGGCCTGTATGAATCATTTTAAGATAGATTTTGCTAATGCCCGCAAGATTAATAGCCTATGAGAAAATGCAAAGAAGTCCCTTCACTCAAGTACTCATGCATTGGCCAGGCTGATACGCAGCAGATGCTCAATTTTTGACCAGTGGACTGACTGTGGCTACAGGCTAACTTTTATATTAAAAGTGTTTCATGTAGGATCAGTATGCACTATACAGTATGTCATTTTGTTGTGTCAGCTGGAATGGGCTGACTCACAAAGTAGCCATGTTCTAATAATAACAATAGTATATATTTGAGCTAAGTGCTCTGACTGTTCTATTCTGTACAGCCTAGTGAGCACTAGAGATGATGGCTTGGGGCTGAATGACAATTTTCTAGCTTCTCTGTGCTGTATTCCTAGAGGCAAGGTCTTGGTTTAGTGACTCAGAGAGAGGCTGGTTTAGCCCATCTAGAATAGGCAAATGGGCTTAATGTTTTTGGCAGAAGTTCAGGTATAGAAAGAAATTTTTTTTCTACCTGATTTAAAACATGGAAGATGATAGTTTTGCTTTGAAAACTTTAACAAGAAAGCTAGATGGGGTTTGTGGAAATGTCAAAGGCTTTGACAAATTCTTATGTGTCATTAACCCAGTTTGTTATAGGCCCAGCCTAGTTTCTTCTAGATCTCGGAAATATTGAAATGTATTTCAGTCCTTCTACTGTAATAGTGTCAGTACTTAAATGCAGAGGTCGATTACCCTTGCCTCCTTTCATGTGTAGAATAGTAGACTGCAAAAATCCTCCTTTCCTTTTAAAAGTCTTCACAATAACGCACGCAGGTTAATAATAATCATTCCCTTATGCAAATGAGAACTCATGAGACCTCAACAGAACACATGGCTGTGAGTGCCATCCCTGAGTTGATAGTCCTGTTAGTAGAGCACTTTACCTGCATCAGATCATTCAAACAAACCCCCATGGCATAAACACTGTAGTGCCTCAATGTGCCTATGATTGTACTAGGCTCTATACAAATGTACATGAAAAGTAGGAGCTTTTGCTGAAGGGGTAAGGGAGTCAGCATATTCCAGAGAAAGCATAATAATAACATATTAAGCATTTTTTATTTCTCATAAAATTTCAACAACATCCAGTGAGTTACCCAAGAGGCATGTGCCTGGGGGCATCAGGAACACAGTAAAACAACAACTTTGCAAAAACAAATCCATGAAACTGTGTGAAATAATTTGATACTTGGTATTTCAAACCTATCAGAAAGGGAGTAATGGAAGAAGAAGAAAAAAAACAAGTTTTTGGTGGATTTCTGGTATTTTGTCTTTACTAGCCCTTTTTTGAATACATTATGATTATTATATTGCAGAGAGGGATGCACCACCAGTTTCTCAGAGCTTCATAATTGCAAAGGTAATACTCTAAGCATGAAAAGAGGTACACATAAATACTATCCCTATTTGGCAAATGAAGACATGGAGATAGGAAAAGTGAAGTAACTGACCTAGGGGAAAATAATTAGTAAGTAACAAAACTAAGCTCCCACCCAAATAATCTGAGAGCGAAATCCTTGCCCGTAACTGCCACTCTGTGTTGCTCCCCGTATCATATTACAATCTCACTTCACTTCTCTCATTCTCAGTATTTTTATAAAGATAAAATTAGACGAAATGAGCTTCGTAGGAACCTTTAGGGAAAAGAAAACAGAAAAATGCAGCCTAGATTGCTGGGATGTCAGAGAAGGGAAGATCTGATTGGGGAGAAGAAGCAGCAGGAAATATTTCTCAGATGCCCAGTTAGTTATATATGAGCTTTCAGTGGAATCTTTCCCACTCCCCGGGTTGAATTGGTCTGGAGCTGTTACCTCTGTGAACCTCTTCCCTACTCTGGCAGCCTGCACACTTTTCCTCCTCTTAAGGCAAACTAAGATAATGCTTGCTTTATTTTCCATACTGTGTAGCCAGCCATACAAACAGGAATGCACAGAAAACACATTTGGAAGTACTTTCTAGATTTTTAGATTTTCTAAAGTATTGGCTCTATACATTGCTAAGGATAAGTTCACTTCTGTGCATTGTAGCCTTGGAGGCAAGGGAAATAAACAATTGGGGCAGAAACCAGGCACCTTGCCATAGACACTCCTCTTTGAAAGTGGATTCAGGGAGTCCCATCTGCTCAGGTCCCCAAGGAAATGGAACCCAGCTCTTCAGTCCACAAAGCATCTGGTGAGTTCTTGTCTGGAATTCAGCTTTTCAAACATAGAATCTTTCCTTTCCAGGGGACCCACAGATTTTTATTTCCCATCATTTTCAGCAGATGCCCCATAGCCTGGAACAGTATCAGCAGTTGGCATAATGAATTGTAGTGCTTTCAAATATCAAGCTAGCATAGCATGGTCTGTCAGGGGGTTCAGTGACATTTTAATTCTGAGGACTTGATACATTTTATAGAATATGACATTTTTCAGCCCAGTAGAAAGCAGCAATGAACAATGTCTGAGACTGAACATTTTCTCTTAATTTCAGCACCTACCAGAGCATCTTGTTTAAATTGCTCCATTTGCTTATGCATTAACACTTGCATGTGTGCATTATGTTAATCAACATTAAAACTATCTAGTATGGGCCAGGTGTGGAGTGGCTCATGCCTGTAGTCCCAGCACTGCAGGAGGCCAAGTCAGGTAGATGACTTGAAATCAGGAGTTCAAGACCAGCCTGGCCAACATGGTGAAATCCCATCTCTATTAAAAATACAAAAAATTAGTGAAACGTGCTTGCTTAAACCTAGGAGGCAGAGGTTGCAGTGAGCCGAAATCGTGCAATTACACTCCAGCGTGGATGACAAAGCGAGACTGTCTCAAAAAATATATATAAATGTATGTGTGTGTGTATATATATACATATATATATATATATAAATATAATTACAAGCTATGTTCTAGTAATGACTATAGTATATGGGCTAAGTGATCTGGCTATTCTGTTTTGTACAGATATATATATATATATATATATATATATATATATATGTATCTATTTATAGTATGTGCCAGGCTCTGTGCTAGACACTGGGGCACATAGATGAGTAAGATAATGCACTCAGGAATCTGGAGAGAGAGTTGGGCAAATAAGTATAGATTTACAATACAAGCTTCCTAAGTGAGGTATGAAAAATTTCTCTAATAATACAATGGAAGCTGTAATTAGCTTTGCAGAGGACATTAGTAATAATTTCAAAGACAAGGTAATCAAGTAATCTGAGTTTGTCTCTCTGCTCAGTTGTATACTGGGCATGATATTGTATGGGACTGAAGCTCAGTGAATTAGTTCCACTATCACAATTGGAAAAGAATAGGAAAGATAAAATGAGATGAAGGATCAGAAAACACATTGCTAAGAAAAAGAAAAACACCTTCATATAAATTTAAGTTTGTTACTTAACTAAGTTTGAGCCATATTTTTTAAAAATCTGAAGTTCATCCAAAACAAAATGAGTATTTTGGAGTTCCTCTTAATTTCTATTATGAGATGATATACTCTTGTCTTTAGATCTTTGGATCAAAGTCCTTATGTTTGGAAGGAAATTATTTCTGTGCATGTTAATTGGTGTCTTTTTTTCCCCAGGAAAATCATCACTCTTGAAACACATTTAAAACAAATTAATTGCTTTTAAATGAAAATAATACTCTTATTCCGAAGCATGTGATTTTGAATAATAGGAAAATGAGATTTTTATCTTTGTGGAGTAAATATTCTGTGCACAGAAAAATTGGTGACTGAGTGTTTAGTTTTATATATAGTACATGACAATGGACTATGTACCAGGCTCTCTGTGGAGTACTAGGGATATAAGACAATTAGGTTGACATAGGTCATTTAATCAAGGTCATAGTAAGTGAATTGCCCTTGAAATATGGACGTATTTTTGTGAGCCTAGGTTTCTAAATTTGAATTAAACAGGAATAACAATAACTTTTTATAGATAACTCATTGCATTAAATTAGTTAAGATGAATGGCTTTAGAATCAGACACTCCCAGATTCCAATCTTGGCTCCCTTAAACTTGGTAGTTGTATCACCTGAGGTAAGATAGTTGATGTTTCTGTGCTTCAGTTTCTTTCCCCTGTAAAGGATTAAGTGAGACTATGTAATTGAGGCTCTGAGAGTAGTGCCTGGTATATTGTAATATCTCAATCAAGTATAAACTTTATTAATACTCTATTAATATAGTGAGGATTAGCTACAATTATCTTGCAGACAGGGCCTTCTCATGGACTTATAACCTATGCAGTCACATGGGGCTCCACACATAGAAGGGCCCTGCTCTTCATTTAATATCTTCTTCTTGTCATCTTGAAATTCTTAATAACTTTTGAACAGAGGGCTTCTCATTTTCATTTTACACTGACCCCTACAAATATGTGAATTGTCCTGGTTGCAGATGAATTTATGAGATTTTGCACACATTGTCTCATATTAAAAGTTGTTTCATTTAATTGTTCTAAGAGCTTTGTGAGAAAATTGAATTAACTTGGAGACCACAAATCATACATAATATTATCAGAGCCATATCCCTAATATGTGAAAAAAGTCAGAAGGAAACCTCTGTTTATTGACTCCAAGCCCAGTGTGCTTTCCATTTTGCTATCCTAAATGATGACATCCACTATCTAATGTATCAAAAATTGGTAGAGATAAATAAGAAACTGGATTTTTTTTTAAATATGGGTACCTTGTAAAGGAACTGAATTGGGAATAGTCAGTTAATTTTTATAGTTCAAATACAAGTAATTATTTTAGTTCTTAAGAATGTTATCATTGTCATCATCAGATTTCATTTCGCATTATTTTTCAGAAGCAATTAGTCTTCCCTGCCTGTGTTCACTACCTGTAAACCAAGCAGAGTCTCATATGAGCGTCTGAAATGTTTGTTTGAAAGAGTAAATTGACCTTATTCAGTAACATTTTCTTCCCCAAGGTATCCAGGCTATAAGGTGTGATCATCAAGGATTGAAACCAATCTTTCATTAACATTACCTTTAGTTATTATTTAATAATTATTTGGTTTATTATCTGTTTAACAATATGTGCATATAAAGCTACATAGAAGATATAGGAACAATTTTTAAACAAGGACATGTAACTAAAAGCTGTAGTTTTTAGGTAGTTTAAAAGGAAATAAAGCCCATGAACAACTCATAGCATACCTAGAGATTTACTAAACAAGCTGTGGATGTGAACCAGCAGCATGTGCATCACCTAAGAGCTTGTTAAAGATGAAAAGACTCATGCCCCTTCCCATGATCTACTGAAAGAGTCTACATTTTAGTAAGATCCCCAAGTGATTTAATATACATATTAAAGTTTGAAAATCACTGAGCTAGAGTACGTCAACCACCATATTATATTGTCATCATTGGCAGTATTGGTGCACAATTATTTTATGGATCACGAAACACTGCCAATTAATCTAAATCAGGATATACCTTGATTGCAACTCAAATCCAGATTTTAGAAATAATAAATGTAAAACTGCTGATTTGTAGCTCAGTAGTGACTCTGAGGCTTACAGTTGGAGTCTCAGCATCTCGGTGTCAAGATCCCACAGAAGCTCTCATTTACCCATGTGGGCTTCTCATTTACCCCCAGGCCCCAGGTGGGCTTGGCCTTCTTTCTGGAGATGGAAGTCAGGATCTTCTCATCTGATTACACTGAGGGCAGATGAGCCATGAGGACTCTTATAGGGATAATCCCCTAACAATCCAAATTAGGAGCAGCTGCAGTCTTGGAATGATGTGCGTTGACTATCTAAGTAATAAGCTTTGGATTCTGAAATAGTTGGACCTAAGCCCATGACCATTAAAGTAAAATGCCTGTGTGTTTTAATATCAATTCAAAACTAGGTCTCCTTTACTTTTTTTTTTTTTTTGATTTTTAGAGTCCTGCTTTCATAGCAAAAATTTTTCACTTGCCAAAATGCAGAAAATCACTGTGTGCAGGTTTACTTTGGTTAATTATCATTTCTGTATGGTAATATCCTCATGCTGAATTCTGTATATATTCTTTATTTTTAGGCCATGGTTTATATAAGATTATTTTACCTTACCACAATTTGCTAACTTATGTATTTATTTCCATTTTAATGACTTTGTAATATAATGGCTTATGCCCTAAAGAAAGTAAACTCTTCCTTGGATATAAATTGGACAGTTGGGGATTTGCAGTCTTAAGCAACCATTTAGGGGAATGCTGCTTCTGCAGCATGAATTTTGTAAAGAGTCCCTTAGAGGCACCCATGAAGTACGGCACCTCTCTAAACTGAAGCACACCTGCCTTGAAATTTTCTTGGTGATTAGATGAACAAAGGGATGCCTTTAACTGACACAAGTAGAAACATCATTATTTCCAGAGAGCTTGTGAGTGTATGCTTACATCATGTTTATAAAAAGACAACTTTGTCTGAAGTGAGCTGGCGGCAGGCTTTGCAGAGAACAAGGAGGTGTCCCAGACTCTCACATTTTCTTTAGGACATCAGAATTTTATGGCATTTTATCCCTTTTCACACTATCTTCCCCTAAACTGAATTTGTGTTTGGAGGCTATTTGTTCCAAAATATATATTCAAACTAAATTAGGCTTCGTTAGATGACAATAACACTGAAAATACCACCACCACCCCTACTGTCCACCCAGAAAAATGCAGCATTTTTTCACTTCATTTGCAGTCTTAATAAACTCTTTCTTTTTGTCTTTGAAATACACATAACACGCGAAGCAATTAAATGTCAAGTGGAATAGTTATAAATGTAGATTAACCACAAAGGAAGAATTTTGCATTCCTAGTAGTTTTTCTTTAAGTATTACTTCTGATCCTCAAATTAAAACTATCACTTTTTTCAATTCTAAAACTTTATTATTCTTTAATTTTCAATCTTACTGAGAGGGAAGAACTGACTGTAAAATTGATGGGTGGCTTGGGAAAAGATAACTATGTCATCTAGCCAAATGAATATATTCTAATATATGAAAGAAGTTTTATTTTATTATTATTATTATTATTATTATTGTATGAGCAGCTCACATAGGATCTACCCACTTAGCAAATATGTAAATGTGCAATATAGTATTGTTATGTAGAGGCACAATGTTATACAGCAGATCTCTAGAATTTATTCTTCTTGCATAATGAAATTTTATAATTATTGATTGGCAACTCCCCATTTCTCCCTTGCCCCAGGCCCTGGCAACCACAATTCTATTCTTTGCTTCTATGACATAGACTGTTTTAGATATTTCTTGTAAGTGGAATCATGCAGTATTTATCTTTCTGTGACTGGCTTATTCACTTGGCATAATGTCCTCAGGCTCATTCTTGTTGACATATATTGCAGGATTTCCTTCTTTTTTTTTTTTTTTTTTTTTCTGAAACAGAGTCTCACTCTGTTGGCCAGGCAGGAGTGCAGTGGCGTAATCTTAGCTCACTGCACCCTCCACCTCCCGGGTTCAACCATTCTTCTGCCTCAGCCTGCCAGGTAGCTGGGATTATAGGCCTATGCCACCATGCCTGGCTAATTTTTGTATTTTTTGGTAGAGATGGGGTTTCACCATGTTGACCAGGCTGGTCTTGAACTCCTGACTTCAAGCGATCTGCCTGCCTTGGCCTCCCAAAGTGCTAGGATTACAGGCTCCTGGCTGATTCTCTTTTTTAAGGCGGAATAATTTTCCCTTGTATGTATATACCACATTTTAAAAAATCCAGTCATCCATCAATGGATATTTAGGTTGTGTGCTCATCCTGGCTATTGTGAAGACTACTACAGTGATCATAGGAGTACAAATATCTCTTAAAAATTCTGACTTCATTTTTTTTTTGGCTGAATATTCAGAAGTGGGATTGCTGCATGATATAATAATTCTATTTTTATTTTCTTGAGGAACTTCCATACTGTTTTCTAGAGCAGCTGCACCATTTTGCATGTTCACTAACAGTGTACACAGCTTCCAGTTTATCCACATCCTCTCCAACAGTTGTTGTTTTTTTCTTTTTTGTCTTTTTTAATAATAGCCAGCCTAACAGGCATGAGGTGATATCTCACTGTAGTTTTAATTTGCATTTCTCTGGTGATTACTGACGTTGGGTATCTTTTTACATACCTGTTGGCCATTTGTATTTCTTCTTTGAAGAAATGTTTATTCAAGTCCGTAGCCCATTTTTAATTGGGTTATTGTTGTCATTGCTATTGAGTTTCTACTGGAGAATAGGGCAACTCCTCCAAATGTGTTCATTTATTCTACAAGCCCTCACTGAGTGCCAACAGTATCTTAAGCACTGACTAGATGCTGGATTTACAAATATGGATAATTCACATTGCCTCGGCCAGATTCCAAAGAGTCACACTAATAAAAATGAATTACAATGCCTTTAATTCAATAATAAAATGTATTCAATGACCACAACATAATTGGCACTGATCTAGATGCTAAATAAGCATAGAAACAGGATTAAGACATGGTTGAGGAGAGATAAACACATACTCAATTAGATATTTCTGCTTTTTCATCTCACCTTTGAATTATCTCTATCATAGCATTTATTGCTACTGTAATGTAATTTTACCAGTATTTGATCAACTGGGGTTTCCCAAGTAGATGAAACCCTAAAGCCCTAAGACATCTGTTGTATGTAATGGTGCTAGTTATGTATCCTCCTTGGGAGAATTGAGGAAATACTCAAATACCTTTCTGTTTTCTCTGTTTCAGATGAGGATTTGGGTTGAAAAAAGCTGGATAGTAATTTTTGTGATGGTAGAGATTGTGACTTTTATTTCTTTAATGGTATAATTTGGGGCATAGTAGGTATTCTATAACCTTTGTGTAGATTCATTGTAATTACATTCAAATGAAACAGGTTCTATAAGAGAGATTTATGCTACATTCTATTGCAACGCAGTATAGGGATGGTGACTGAGAAATATTTAGGAAAAGGCTTTCCCAAGGAGGTAACATTTGAGAAAAGTAGTATGGCACTGAACGAAAAGTAGTATGTCACCAAGTAAACAAAAATAGAGATAAGAGTCGAGACAGGAAAAGTTGGAGAAAAGGTGCAGGTGTAAAATAATAAATGATGTGTTTAGGGTATATCTGGAATTAGTGTGTCTGGAGAAAAGATGCATGGGGAAAAGAGGTCAATAATTGTGCTGGATAAAAGTTTGGATAAATGATGTTGAAATGGATAAAGTAATGACAGGATGTGACTGCTGCAGGAAAGGAATTGGGTTTTACCCTGTAGGTCAGTGGTTCAGAGTTTTGTGCATAAGCATCATCTGAGAGCTTATTAAACTGCAGCTTCATGTCCCCCTTGCTTCTGATTCAACAGTAGACCCGCATTTTTAACAGAAATATAAGGTGATACAGAAGCAAATGATGCAAGGGAAACAACTTCACCCTAATCAAGGCTGCTGTTTATTATTCACTGCCATGGATATTTCTAGAAAACTCTGCATAGAATCAGCATTTTATAGGAATAAATGATCAAAAGAGCCTAAGCCTCCATGTAAATATACTGAAACAGATCCAGTGGGAGATACAGTGTAGAGATTCTTCAAAGGTAGAATTAAGGTGACTTTTTACAGTTTTGGAGAAAGAAGAATACAAAATACAAACACAAGCAAAATTTACATATTTCTGCCCAAACAAAGCAATCAAACCAGATATGCTTCAGATTAAAGTGAAAAGGAGTGGGGAGCTTGAGTGGTCGGAAGCATGAAGGAACTAACAAAACTGGCTTCATGAGATGCAGTCTTTAATCGTTTAGACTACCCAGTGATCAAGGTTGACCAGTCTATGTGGAGTGCAACGCAATGCATTTTATTCAACTTCTATGAGCACTAGGGTTTTCATCTTTCAAGTGAAAGCATTAATCTCTGTGTACCTTAAGGTCCCTCTCTACAATAATATTTAAGTTCTGTGGTTGCAAACACAGAAAACATTTTTATATAAATTTCTTAAAGTTCTTACTGAAAAGTCATCTAGCCAAAGGGGTCCCAGCATATCACACTAAGTGACCTTAGTTATTCCAAAAAGGTAAGAGAGACAAGAATTTTCTACCACTACCATCTCCTTGATCAAAAGCAAACTAACAAACCAAATCCTCTTCAAATTTAAGAAAAAAGTGTGTTGAAAGAGATTCCTATCTGCCTGCTTAGTTTTTCTTTCTTTCTTTTTCCCCTTTTAAGTAAAGTTGGGCAAAGCATCCAAGAATCAGATTATCAAGAAGCAGCACAAGATGTAAAAGTCTGCCTCTGCCCACGTCCCCACAGCCTTTCTGAGCCAGCCAACGGCTTTGATGCTAGAGCTCAGCATTCTCATTAAGTTTTACAGGTTTCCATCAAACAGCTTCACTGCTTTAAACCTGAAGCTGGTCCCATAGTCCAGTCATAGGGTATATGATCAAAACACATGATGTTTTTAAAAATTCAAAATACTGGATATGCTTCCACTGCTCCATGCCTCTCTGTATTCTAGCAAAGGTAGATGGATAAGCTCTGTGTGCAGTTGCCTCATAGTCCATTTTTAAATAATTGTTTGATTCTCTGAGAGGTATGGTGCTTGTGAACAGGTGAGAGATCTCTTCCAGAGGATAGATGTTAAGAATGATTATCTCTAGGAAATGATTTCTAGGAGAGTTTTTGACTGCAAACTCTTGGCAAAGACCAGGAAATATCAGGGGCAGACTGCGTCTTCTGTTCTAGCTCTGCTGGCCCCAGGGCTGGAGTCCATTAAAGAATATAAATCAAAGAGTGAGAAGCCATCCCTGTAGTTGGTCCTATGATCACACATGCTAAGCAAGCAGTGTGTAATTATGGGAGGACATTAAAATGCCAGTGGAAGAGATGGATGAGATTCAAAACATGCTTTCTTTTCTGGGTCAGTAAAGTCTGTTTCCTTTTTTGCCAGAATACATGTTCCCTTTTATTCTATGAAGAATAGAAAGTGTATCTGAGCCATCAGTAATTTTAAAAGAAAGGAAGGGAAGAAGGGAGCAAAGGGGGCAGAAAGGGAGAGAAAAAGGAAGGAAGGAAGGAAGGAAACTTCCTTTTGATAATCATCTTTCTTGATGGAAAAAATAATGTACAAAATTTAAAAATAAGAGCAATTTTTGGAAAGTGATTGTTGATTCTGGAAAAGAAATTCTGAACAGTGAAGAGATCTTTAAAGATAAACAAAACTGAAACTTAAATATAGAGGATCTCTATGAAGCTTGAGAGAAAAAAAAAAGAAAAATGAACATTAGAGACACCTAACTTTCAGTGGAATTTTTAGGGAGGCCAAAATCTTCTCTGAGGATGTATCAGGAAGAGATCTCTACCCTCTTTTTTCCATTTATCAACCTGGATGGTGATTTTTTTTGTTTTGTTTTGGTCCTGATATCCCATACAGAATATAGTACATGTGTGCTGTCTGTATTTTCTGTGCCACATAGTTGATGAATTTTCCAAATCTCATTGAAATCCTATGGATTCCATTAAATCTTAGCCATTTAGATTTTCAGCCTTTTGCATAAGGCCTTAAAATTTTAAAGAAAATAAAAAAGATGAGATCATTTAGTCTTATTTAAAATGAGAAAACTGAAGGGACATGTTTCACCCTCACTTTTAACAACTCATAACTGGGTCTTATGATTCTTGGTCCAGACTCTTTATAACTCTATTAGCTTCTGTATATTTCTTAGCTCCATGTAACCGGTGAACATTGCAGATCAAATACGTGACAGTTCTGTGTGATAACACCGGTTTGTGTCTGACTAACCCATGAAACAGAATTACCTTAGAACAAGGAAGGAGCAGACCTGTCTTATGCAGTGGTACATTTTAATGATATTTAAATGTACTCCAGTGTATGATGTGTATGGCATACATGGCAAACACTGAATAAACTGAAATGGTTTTTAAATCCTTCAGGTCAACTCTATACAAGCTTAAGAAAGTCCACTAAAAACAGTCCTTAATGGACGGCAACATTGTTAGGAAAAACTTACAAATACATCAGGTTAATTTCAAATTTCAGATTCTTGTCACCACTCTTCCCATCCATCGCTTGCCAAGGGTGAACATTTTGGATATCTTTGAACAACTGACTTTCTTATAATTACATTGTAGAAGTCAAGATCATAATTACGGAGAGTTATTTGAATAATCAATTGTGATAACTCGAATGACATAATTCATCAGAATTTCTGTTGTTTTGGTACCATCCTGAAAAACAGGTGTCTAGCATGCATGTCAAACCACGTATTATACTACTTGAAGAACAGATCCAAGAGTTAAATTCTCAAAAACCCTGTTTGGATGTTTTGGAGACTGCCTTCAGTCTGATGAATGCTGAAACACATGGGATCTTCACAACACACTGATTTAATTTACTTTTATTTTTCTCGTAGGTAGTCATGTTTTTCCATAAGCTTAAAATGTTAACACTAGAAAAAATATAAAGAGTATATATCATACTGTTTAGGGAAATAAACCCTGTAGTTAAATAGGTGAATAAATTAAGGCACAGTGAGATTAAGTGACTTCTTCCAAATTATTATTATTTTTTTTTTGCCAAGATGTCTCATCAGTCAGGTATCCTTGATGAATTCACTAAGATCTTCAACTTAATAAAATAATAACCATATTGGTAGAAGCATCTACAACATAACCCAATACTTCTTTTTTCATTTTTTTTTAATTCACAAATAAACTTAGAATGTGAAAGGCATTTTCCCATTGCTAGTTTTCTAAATGTCAGAATCCTTCATGTCATTTTCTCTTTTCTTATTCATACCAGAGCTTTAATGATCTTAGGATTCTACCAGCATATCTCAAATTAACCTTGACTTTCTTGTCTGTCATCATCTAACTAAAAAGTTCTTCAACTGGTTTTGGAGAAATGTCATTCTTTAGTTATTTCTGTAGAAACTTCTAAGTAAAGTCATGAGCTGTTCCAGGGTCCATAAAACAGGTCTTTTACATTTATTACTATTCCTTGCCCCCAAAAAGCAAGACTTGGCTGGGCGTGATGGCTTATGCCTGTAATCCCAGCACTTTGGGAGGCTGAGGCAGGTGGATCACTTGAGGTCAGGAATTTGAGACCAGCCTGGTCAACATGGTGAAACCCCGTCTCTATTAAAAACACAAAAATTAGCCGGACATGGTGGCACACGCCTGTAATCCCAGCTACTCGGGAAGCTGAGGCAGGAGAATTACTTGAACCCGGGAGGTGGAGGTTGCAGTGAGCCAAGATGGCACCACTGCACTCCAGCCTGGGTAACAGAGTGAGACTCTGTCTCAAAAAAAAAAAAAAAAAAAAAGCTAGTCTTAACTACTTTTACCTAGAAATTTTTCTATTTTTTTTTGTTTATTTTCAGCCATTAGCAAACTTTGCAAGTCATAATATATCTATCCCTGGAAGGATGTAACTACAATTGTCATAGAACTCTAATTAAGAAATTATGATACATTATGTGCATCCTTATTCTTTGAGGAAATAATCACTTTACCTCAGGCTTTTATTTTTAGATTTTCAGTGACATTCTGCATTTCTCCTTGCTTTTGGCTAGTCAGACACATCTCTTCTAAAATATTATTTTTGTTCCTAATTTTATCTAGAACTCTGGGTAGTTTAATATATAATTAATTTCTAATATAAGCAATCAATTTGCTTTCCACCATTTGGTTTTGTATCCCCCATTTTCTGATATGCCATTCTGCTTTCCTTCAATTAGGTTATAGTTATTAAAATAACTAAAATCCACCCCATCAACTGACAAAACAATTATTCACCCTTTGTACCTTGTAAAAATGCATTAAATTTCTATCCACAGCTGGAATTATAATGCATATTTTAGCTTCTTATAGGAAACATCCAGGCGTTTCTGATGATTTCCTTTTCATCAAGTGCAACCTCTTCAACTTCAATTAGCCAGACAAATTTCCTGATCATGTATTCCTTATTCTGACGAATAAATTGTTACTTGGTTTCTGGGATATTGACTTATATAATTTTCAGTAAAGCATGTTTCCCTTGAATTATTTCTGTTTCTCACTTTAACTTAAAAGTCCTCTTTCATGCAATACTCATTATGTCTTTGGAAAAACATTCCCAAGTATGTTTTCTTTATTATATCATAATTTTCAAGGCAAGAATATTTATTCTGCATTTGGCATTGTTAGAGATACAAATTTTCTTCTAAAATAGTTGAGCATTGAACCGAGAAGTCAGATTTCAACAGGTAAACATATTTCTTTATTACTTCAGTAAGTAGTGACCACCTTCTAAAGGCACAATTTATTTGGAGCGGTGTGGCTTGCCCATTTTTGTAAGGGCTGAATTTTTATAAGGCTTTCTTAGTGAGCTTGCAATCTAAGAATATTTCTTACATGAACTCTGTAGTAATACTGCCTAGGATTTTATTTTGGTGTGACCTTGGGCAAATAAGTCATTTTCTCAGTCCCTCTGATTCCTCATCTGTAAGGTGGAGACATAAAAGTATCTACAGATACGGTTTTTGTGAGTGTTAAATGAGGTAGTTGATGTATCTTTAAAAGAAATAGGAGAGTTGGCCAGACATGGTGGCTCACACCTGTAATCCTAGCACTTTGGGAGGCTGAGGCGAGTGGATCACTTTAGGTCAGGAGTTCGAGAGCAGCCTGGCCAACATGGTGAAACCCTGTCTCTGCTAAAAGTACAAAACAAAACAAAACAAAATTAGCCAAGTGTGGTGGCGGGCACTTGTAATCCCAGCTACTTGGGCAGCTGAGGCAGGAGAATCACTTGAACCTGGGAGGCGGAGGTTGCAGTGAGCCAAGATCACAGCACTGCACTCCAGCCTGGGCAACACAGAGAGACTCTGTCTCAAAAAACGAAACAAAACAAAAATAAAATATATATATATACATATATATGTGTATATATACATATATATGTATATATATATAGATATGTATATACATACACATATATATGAATATATATGTATATAGATACACACACATATATACATATATACATGTATATATATGTATATATACACGCGCATATATACATATATATACACACACACACACACATATATATATACACACATATATAGGAGAGTTAGGATTACAGCTTATAAGTATGTGTATAAATGGCTTTGGGGCATTTTACACATGCTATTTAGTCTTTAAACTTGAAGAGTAATTATTTCTGATTTAAAAAAGTTTATTTTATTTTATTTTTTATTTTTTTAATTTTTTATAGAGGAGGCTCAAGGAAGCTAAGTAACTTTTCCAAGGCTGCATCCTGTTAAGAGACTGAACAAAGATGCAAACTAAATCAATGTGATTCTAAGGGCTGTTTCCCTCCTCTGTGCTGTGATGTCAGTGCAGTGGCAGGAAGAGTACTGGATAAGGGCAGGCAAAATTTAGTTTTGATTTGGACTCATTCATTTATTTGTTCTGTAAATTCACCGGGTAGAGGTATTGAGGCTTTTGGGATTTTTTTTTTTTTCTTTGAGACGCAGTTTTGCCCTGTTGCCCAGGCTGGAGTGCAATGGCACATCTTGGCTCACTGCAACCTCCTCCTCCCGGGTTCAAGCAATTCTCCTGCCTCAGCCTCCCGAGTAGCTGGGATTACAGGTGCCTGCCACCATGCCCGGGTAATTTTTGTATTTTTGGTAAAGATGACGTTTCACCATATTGGCCAGGCCAGTCTTGAACTCCTGACCTCAGGTAATTGGCCTGCCTCAGCTTCCCAAAGTGCTGGGATTACAGCCGTGAGCCACTGTGCCCCGCTGGGAATGGGCATTTTATCAGAAAAGGTAATGAAGACAGACAGGGGGAGACTCAAATCATTTTTTTAGACTCACTCATTTATTTGCTTAACAAACATTTATTGAACACTGAGCAGCATTCTGAATGTGTGTTGGCTGCCGAGCAGCAAACAAGAAAACCTATTTTTGCAGTGCTTCAGAAACATGCAGTTAAAGAGGAATGCAGAACAGGTTCTCAGAAGAGAGATGAGGAGCCATTCACATGGAGGAGGTGTTGAACATTTGGATATGCCATGCTCATTCTGGGAAGTTTAATGAGGAGACGTGGGAGAAAACCAGAACCATCAGGACATTGAGATGCACCCACTTTAGAGAATGAAGGTATGAAGATAAGACAGGGAAGAGAAGAGATCAGAGGAAAGGAATGTATCCCAGGGTAGGGCACTAGCTGAATGACAGTTAACACAAGAGGAAACAGCTTGAGAGGGGGCCTTATGGCTGGAGAGGGTGAGATAGAACCTTGAAAGTAGATCCTCAGGCTGCTGTAGTAGTAGATAAGAGAGACTGTATCCCTGCTGACACATCATTCAAAGGTTTGGGGTATTGTGATATGGCTAGAGGGTCAGTCTCTTCTGAGCTAGCTATAACAGAGACCCAACTAAAGCCTAAGACAGAGCCATGTCCCTCCTCAAGACAAGACCCTCCATATGACTTTGTTCATTAAGAAGCATGTCCCACCGGGCACGGTGACTCGTTCCTGAAATCCTAGCACTTTGGGAGTGCTGAGGCAGGCAGATAGCTTGAGCCCAGGAGTTAGAGATCAGCCTGGTGAAACCCCATCCCTACAAAAAATACAAAAATATTAACTGGATGGTGGCGTGTGCCTGTTGTCCCAGCTACTCAGGAGGATTGCTTGAGTCCAGGAGCAGAGGTTATACCGCACTGTGATCGTGCCACAGTAATCCAGCCTGGGTAACAGAGCGAGACTGGGTCAAAAAAAAAAAAAAAAAAAAAAAGTCCTAGGAATTTTCCCACGTTCCTCATAGGCACCTGAGGAGCAATCCAAATAGATTTTATTTTCCAGGCAGACTAGGGAAATCCCTACTGAATGTCCATGTCAGGTGGGGCTCCTGAAGGCTGTCAAGCCAGATAGACAGATGGGTCCCTTCTCCAAGGGAGAACGGGCAAACCTCACCATCTGTTCTGCTATATACAAAGCTTTTCGTAGTTTTGACCTGGCTGAGCCCTTTCTTCTAGTAGTTGTAATAAAATTACTGTGAACTACACAGTATCACTGTCTAGACACAGTGGAATAGTGGAGAGAGTCAGAGATCTGGAATTAGACATTTCTATTCCAAACGTAAGTCCAGCAGTTTTGGCAAATTGCATAATTTCTTTTAATGTGATTTATCTGTGAAAGGGGAGTAGGATAACAAAGGGTTATTTTGGCATTTTGAAATGGTGTACATCAACAAAGAACCACATAGAAGATGCTCCAAAACACAGCAATTTTTAATAACATGGGATAGATCGTGAATGATGTAGACAACTATTATAAAAGAGAAGATCTGAGAAAGGACAACGATCTGAGAAAAGGTAGTGGAAGGTAGTGGAAGCATCTTTGAAAAAAATATTTATCCAAAGAACTCAGATTGTAAGAGGTTATGAAGAGTGGGTGAAGAAGAGAAAGAAGCAATGTATTTTTATTTGGTTGTTTTTCTTAGAAAGTTGGCCATGAGCAAAAAGAGAGAGAAGGACTGTTGCTGGAAGAAGTAAAAGGCTGAGGAGAAGCTTCTGATGCCTGATCATAACAGTGCCATCAAAACAAACATGAAACCAGTCTACTCTAGCTAGGAATATATATGCTTATGCAAAGTTAGTGTTCTTAGAGGAAATAACCAAGACATTGTTGGGAAGCCATTAGGAGAGAGAAGTTGAAACTGATGGAAAGATAAGAGCCTCTATAACACAGTGTTTATTCTTACATTAAAGCTTTTGCTTATTTTTTGCATTGTTTTAGCATTTTGGTTCTCACTTCTCCTTGCTACAGCAGAACTGGTGGAGAATTATTAAGGAACATAGATAATAATGGCAGTAGAAACTAAAGTCATAATTGACTTTAGTCAAAAAACACCTGAGAGACTTATGCCTTCAAATTCTCCCTTTCTATGGCAGAATTACAAGTGATATGCATTTTCTGAGGCAGCCCTTCCAATCTTCCTGGAATCATTCTTCCTGGGTACTTGTCTTTGATCCGTTTCTATTAATCTCAGGTCTATCTGTCCGGGAGGACTTGCCACACTCATAGCCTCAAATGCTGACCGTGGCATCTTTGCAATGCTATAAATGTTACTCTGGCTCTTATCTGTGATTTAGTGCTTCTCTCACCTGGAGCAAAGGTAGAGGGGAAGGGTCAAACTGGAGTAGGAGGAGAGGTGGGTATTTTTTTTTTTTTTCCTTTTTTTACCCTGGCCCATAAATCATAATCAAGGGATTTGGAGCATGCCCCACTTCTTGCAAAAAAGTAGTACAGAGAAAAATTGCATAACATCAAGGCATCTCATATCTAAATAATAATAATAACCAGAGAACAAATTCTTTCTTTCTTCCAAAACCCAGAATATGTTTTCTGTCAAATCAGGTCACAGCCTAAGAAAAACTCCTCTTTCTTGGGCGAGTGTCTTATACTCAGCACACTGAGGTCTCACCATCATTTCAAAAGCCCTCCTTACTATTTTATTCCAGGTGGCCACATGTCCTCATAACAATACACACCCCATGTTTGTGCACCCCAACATACCAGCTTTCCCAATCTGGATGTGCAGATAAGATCTCCGCTCTGGTGTTTCACTATTGTTTTGCTTGTTTTTTTTTTTTTTTAAGAAGAGAGGTCAACTCTTATTCATTTTAGAATTCCTCTCAGTGCTCAGAGGGTACCGTGGACAAAAGACACAATATGAATAATGAATAAATGAGTTGGATTTAAAGCATCGTGGAGTGATTAGCCCTGAGCAGTATGAGAGTCACCCCTGGTGTTGAGATAGGATGGAGTAAGACAAGAGGTAAAAACACGCTGTGGTGAAAGATGGCAAAAAGGGAAAACAAGGAAGTCCCCAGGATTGTCCTCTCTTTATAGGATTCAAAATGCTGTTAGCGTGAATAGAATCAATAACTAAAATTTAAATGTATCTTATTTCTTCAATGATTAGGTAGCACACAACACATTTATACTATTTCTATGGGCCTTAGAAAGAGACATTTCTTAGTCCTTCCCTTCAGCTTCAGCTCTTTATTAGAAGGCTTTGCTTTTTGGTTTAATGACTCTCTCTTAGCCTAGCACACGTTATCATGTGTAATAAAGTTATCAGGAGGTCTTTCTTCCATGTTTAATAATCTGGAGCAAATGACTTCCTCTATGACTCACCCATACTTACGCCTACAGGTGTTAAAGGTTCCCCGACAGTGCTGATGTGCATGTTGATTTTTTTAGGGCACAGGAACTTAGAAACATATGAATTAGGTTTCAGTTTACATAAATATGACCATATGACTGATATACCTCACTACCAAATATGAACCACAAAACCAAGGAAATGCGAGCATACATTTAAAAATGCAAATATACATTTTCCGTATGGGAATATCTATAGTTGTGATATGTAGTAAATTATATCTGTAATAGTCTGTTCTTACACTGCTCTAAAGAACTGCCCGAGGCTGGGTAATTTATGAAGGAAAGAGGTTTAATTGACTCACAGTTCAGCATGGCTGGAGAGACTTCAGGAAACTTACAATCATGGTGGAAGGCGAAGCAAATAAGTCTTTCTTCATTTGCATGGCAGCAGGAAGGAGAAGTGCCAAGCAAAATCAAATTTGTTTATATCATTGTTTCAGATTGTCAATTTCAAAATAATGTATCAATGTTTATTAATATATTTCTTTTTTACAATTTTTACCTTTTTTTATACCTTTTCAGAGGCTAAGGTATCAAGGGTATCATCCTCATGCAACTGTAAGCATATGGTGATAGTTACTTTTCTTTAACATTTACAATATATGTCATACAATAAGATGTTTTTAACAGCCTAGATATGTTGGATGTAATAACAACTATCATGTGCCATTTAAAACACTTGTTTAATCTTTAAAACGTGGCCAAAATATATAGATGTTTTTAAATAAGTCAAAAGAATTTTGATCACCTTCCCCTTTGCAAGCAACAAATAAAATAGCATCACACAATTAATCCACAAAATCTACTCTGTAAGAACACTAACTGCAGGGATCAGATAGAACCCCAAATATAATATTGCATTTCAGTCTATTTGATTCATAAAGTGTTTTCCTTTTCTTCATCTAAATCTTCTTATTTGATGGCTTTTAAAATTGATAGTATCAAAGAGACAAGTTGAATTACCATATTTTTATACCTCACAGTTTATATTATTCTAAAGATAGAAAAATATGAGAGAAATATACATGCTTGTAAATTCAGTGCCCTTTAAGTATATCATACTAGTTCCCTGCTGGGACTAGATGACAGACTCCATGTGTTCATTTTCAATTCATTTGTCAATGCAGAAGTACTGAGGTGGAGCTGGGCTGACTGGAATGAAGAAAATATGCTCCAAACATATTCTTGTGCATTTACATAAGATTGGGTAACCTTATTTATCCCGCCACAGTATTCATTCACCTAATCATGCTTAAGTTTATAAGTTTCACAAAAAATAACACACGATCAGAGATCAATGACTTTGTTCACAAAAACTACAGACTCTGATCTGGGAGAATTTCATTTTGTAGTGATTGAGAGCAGAGCATCAAGGTGAAGGGAGAGGAAAGAGAGGTTCATTTGGCCTATGCCAGGGGCTTTTTAGAGTAGTAATTATTGATCACCACCTTGATTATGGTCCATTTGGCTACGAGGCCTTCCTAAATAAAGTGCTCTGGGAAACTGCTCCACTTCCCCATCTTTATGACAAGCTTTCTGCTGCTGGTGCTGTAATGCAAGTTTTGTTCTCTGCACTTGGACAAAATTGTTTTCCCAAAATTTTTTTCTCTAGGCTTTCGCTAACCACATACTCAAACTATACACAAGGGTTCTAACTCTGAGCATCTTTTCCCCTGAACTAGATACCTGTATCAAAAAAAGAATCAAAACAGTCAAGCTCACTGCAATAGATTACAAAGTCTATAAATCAACAAAGTCTAAGCCCTGAGTGTGATAGCCTTCATTACCCTGTGTAAGGAGAGAACCTGTTAGTCCTTGGAAGTCTTTTCACTTTTTACTCCCTAAGCCAAGAGCAAGCTCTGTTCCAAAAGTTACCTCTCCTGACTCATTGCCTGCCACAAGCTAAGAGAACCTCCCTGCCCTCTGTTTTGTGAACTTCTGTTTCTCCTCACAGAGGGACTGTCTCTCAGCTCATAGACTTGCCACCTAGATGCATAAAGAAACATGGCCTACTACTTTTCTCTTTGTCTTTTGGGATGCACAGAGTGCAGGCAGTTTATGTGCTGGATTGATGGCTTTTATTATTACTCAGGCTGTTTAGATCACTCTGGTGTCATTTGCCCTGGCCCTTGCCAACTGTGGAAGTCTACTGCTAGGGTTTCAATACTTTTAATCCTTTAATAATTATTGGTTGTAAAACTTGAACAAGTTTCTTAATTTCCTTAAACTGTCATTTCGCCATCTGTAAATTAGTGGTAATTAGAGTAGTCGTAGTAGCTAGCAAGCACAGTTTATAGTGAGGATTAAATGAGATGCCGCATGCAAAGAGTGAAGCACGATGACTGACACACAGTAGGTGATCACCAAGCTGTAGAGGTTATTCTTATCTCCTCCTTGCATCGGGTGTCCTTGGAGCATCACTGCCTGGAGCAGCTTGGAACGGATTTGAGGCTTGCTTAACCAAGGTCGAAATTTGGATCCAACACAGTAACTGTTTGAGATCCACACAAAAGGTTTTAGAAACCTCAGACATGTAGTAATTTTGTGGGAATGTAGCTTAATAGCCAAGGGAAGGAAGCCAAGCCGAAATCTTCGCTGAAGGGCGCCTAACTTGTATTTAGCATGCACACTGGGGCGCATTTCCCTGCTCGGCTTTGGCAGCATCCACTGAGGGAAGAGAACCATGTGCTGTCCCAGATAGGGGTCACCCTCCTCCCCAGCACAGCACAGAGGCCTCGCTGTCGTCAGCCCCCTTGGGAAGAGCCACTGAAACCGGACAGAATCACAATAGCAGAGAAGAGAACTGGAATAAGATGTGAGGAAACTTCAAAGAAGAAGGAAATCATAGGCATTATGATAAATAAAAATAGATAACTCAGAACTTCCTGGGACCCACATTTTTTTACATCACTATCATTGTTTGGCTTACTTTTTCCTTTCTGTAGGTCATTATCTGTCCTTTTTTAAAGGCCTGACTAGTATACATCTATCTATCTATCTATCTATCTATCTATCTATCTATCTATCTATCTATCTATCTATCTGATATATAGTGTATGGTAGAATTTTCCTTGACTGTCCTAATTATGAAGAGGCAGTCAGCTTCAGAGTCTTTATACTAATAGCTCTTCTTATGTTAGGTATCTATTTTTTTTTTTCCTTTGTCGAGTCATCAGACATTTTACTACATGCTAGAAACCAAGTTCGGATAAAATGTTGAATAAACAACAAGCTCAGATAAAATGTTGAATAAGCCTCAGTCCCTGACCTCAAAGAACCAGCTCTATTCTATTTCATCTCCCCACTGGTTTGTTAGTTGAACCCCTGGAGTGCTGTGGGCACTTTCTTTTTTCTTTGCAGCATGTTGATCAATATTATTTGTATATATTTTGTCAACCACTACGTTAAAACACTTAATAAAAGACAGAGACCTCAGTGGGGGAGACTGTGTTTGGAACATAACATTTTCAATCAGGGCAGGGAGTTATATTATTTAGAGTATGGTGAGCCAATTGCTGAGAGTATTTAGAGTATGTTGAGATCTTAGTCCATTCTGACTGCTATAACAAAAATACCATAGACTGGGCAGCTCAAACAACAAATATTGGTTTCTCACAGTTCTAGAGTCTGGGAACTCCAAGATGAAGGCTCTGGAAGATTCAGTGTCTGGTGAGGGCCCATTTTCTGATTCATGATCGTCCATCTTCTTGCTGTATCCTCACATAGCAGAAGTAAGGGAGCTCTCTGGGCTCTCTTTTATGAGGGAAGTAACTAATCACATTCATGAGTCTTCACCCTCATGAGCTCATCACTTCCTAAAGGCCCCATCACACTGGGAGTTAGGATTTCAATATCTGAATATGGGTGGAGAGGGGGCACACATATTAGGTCTGTAACAGTGAGTTAATGTTAGTTGTCCAGGGGAATGCAATACATTCTCCCACACTCTCATTGCTTAGGTATATAAAGGTATTAAGGTCATGGGAAAAGCTGTGCATACTAACAGAATAGTCTATAATGTTTCATAGACGCAGTGGCATTAAACAAAATAGTTCATAAGCAATATTATAAAGAAGCAGCATTGTATAGAGCTACATCAAACAGTATGTATATGTATATATATATTGTACAAGCACATTCCATAACCACAGCAGCATAAAACTCCATTTTTTAAAAAAGTAAATACAATCTTGATAAAATCTCTGACTTGGAACTTATTTGAGGGCTGTGATTTAAAACTGCATGTAAGTAAATGATTTTTTAAAACTCTAAAAATGCTTTTGTAGCATTTTACATTTACAAGGTGTTTTAAAACTTACATATTGTCTTCATTTATTTTACTATGCTTCATACTTGAGCAATGAACCTTACACAGTTATTGTCACATGACAGGTGTTCCATAAATACATTCTATTCATTTGTGTATACATTCATTCAGATACTTATGAAAAATCTGCTGTATTCCAGGTATTAAGGATATAATAGTGAATAAAACCTAATGGTTTCTGACTTCATGTGGTGCTTACAGTCTAATGAGGGTGCACGTGCCTAGGAAACAGACAATAGTTAGATCCCTCCCTTCTATTTTCAGGCAAATCATAGGCATTTGCAGTTCCAGTGCCAATCTTGTCTCTACCCAGCTCCCTGACCTTGGGCAAGACACAGTCTTTTGGTGTGTCTGGCTATAACAGTTGGGTTTTGCTGCAAACCTACTTAACTCCAGTGAGCCTTGATTTCCTCATTGGTAAAGTGAGCATAAGAATCCCTGTTTTGGCCAGGCATGGTGGCTCACACCTGTAATCCCAACTCTTTGGGAGTCTGATGTGGGCAGATCACTTGAGAACAGGAGTTTGAGACCAACCTGGGCAACATGGTGAAACGTCTCCACTAAGAATACAAAAATTAGCCAGGCATGGTGGTTCACACCTGTGGTCCTAGCTACTCAGGAGGCTGAGGAGAGAGGCTCACTTGAGCCCAGGATGGGGAGGTTGCAGTGAGCCATGTCCACCTGGAACGGGCTGGACAGTTGATCCTTCCTTAGCAGGAAACTACTCCCACCCAGGAGCCTCTGTAGACCTGACCATTTTCTCCCTGCATCTAGCAGGTATCTCCTCCATTCTAGGGGCTATTAACTTCATTGTGACAATTATTAACATAAACCCCCTGCCATATCTCAATACCAAACACCCCTCTTTGTCTGATCCGTCCTAATCACAGCAGTCCTACTCCTCCTCTCCCTTCCAGTCCTGGCCGCTGGCATTACTATATTATTAACAGACCACAACCTTGATACCACCTTCTTTGATCCAGTCGGAGGGGGAGACCCTATCCTGTACCAACACCTATTTTGATTCTTCGGTCACCCCAAAGTCTATATTCTCATCCTACCGGGCTTCGGGATAATTTCCCATATCGTAACATACTATTCTGGAAAAAAAGAACCATTCGGGTATATGGGCATAGTCTGAGCTATGAAATCAATTGGTTTCCTAGGATTTATTGTATGAGCTCATCATATATTCACAGTAGGGATAGACGTGGATACACGAGCCTACTTCACCTCCGCTACTATAATTATCGCCATTTCCACTGGCGTCAAAGTATTTAGTTGACTTGCTACGCTTCACAGAAGTAACATCAAATGATCTGCCGCGGTACTCTGAGCCGTAGGGTTCATCTTCCTCTTCACTGTGGGTAGTCTAACCGGCATTGTACTAGCAAACTCATCATTAGATATCTAATGATGAAATATAACTAATTTCTAATTAATCTGAGAAAATTAAGACTCAGAGAAAATAGGTAACTAGGTAAACTCCAAAAAGCCAATAAATAGACAAGAACAGACTAGAACAGAAATACTATAACTTACTGAAGGCACGTTTTTACCATTACAAATTTTTCAGTAATGGATGAAGTCGGAGGAGTCAGACATTCAGCACTCTAGAGTTCCTGTTAGTTACTTCCTATACTGTCACAATGTTTATACACACTGTATATGTTCTACACACTTCCCATTAAAATATATGATTTCATGAGGTGCAGAATCTTTGAGCTCTGTCAAAGACCCAGTGTCACAGTTACTATTTAGTTTAATGTTATTTTTTATTATTTCCTGTTCATAAGGCTCAGATTCTATTTTTCCACAGTATTGCCATAGGGAGCCATCAGGAGCATGTTAAAAAAAGCAGCTTATTCATTTGCGGAATTTGCCTTTTGGTTTTTTAAAAACATATATTTATTGAATTCTGGATGCTGTTTCTAAAATTTTAACTCTCCTAGAACATAGGCTAGAATCAGCAAAACTGGATTTATGGCCTGGATGTATGATGTAGGAAACAATCAACTTGCTCTAACTCAATTGCAGTCAGTTTGCTAGCAAGCATTTAGCTAACAGATAAAATGCCTAGTCTTATTGAGTGCCTAGAATATAATAGGCACTCACAAAGAAGATCATTTCTTACTAAAATAATCATAATACTTCATATTATTTACATTTATTTTCATCTTATTTTGTTTGCATTTGTCTTAATATATAAATACCATCTTACCCTGGCTTGTACTGTTAACTTTGGAAAGAAAATTCACAAACCATCAACATTGATTCTTCAAGCTTTTTTTCACAAACCCCATTTATATGTATATCACTTTCATAATTGAGACATATATATGTATTCTCTATCTTATCATTTAATTAATATTTTACATTTAAACAATTTACTTTTGAAATTAATCTCATCCTAAATATTATTCATATATTTACAATTTTAATATGCTAGTTATACTTTTTTCCCTCCAAGTACACATCCAAATAACTATAATTCAGAAATTAAATACAGTTTTTGAACCACTTAACTTCACCTAGCATATCACCGATGGTATGAGTCTTGGTTTTCAGTTACAAGGCAACTTTCTGCAATAGGGAAAACAGGGATTCTTTTTTTAAGACAGGGTCTTGCTTTGTCACCCAGGCTATAGTGCAGTGACCTGAACATGGCTCACTGCAACCTCCCCATCCTGGGCTCAAGTGAGCCTCCCTCCTCAGCCTCCTGAGTAGCTAGGACCACAGGTGTACACCACCATGCCTGGCTAATTTTTGTATTTTTAGTGGAGACGGTGTTTCACCATGTTGCCCAGGTTGGTCTCAAACTCCTGTTCTCAAGTGATCTGCCCACATCAGCCTCCCAAAGAGTTGGGATTACAGGTGTGAGCCACCATGCCTGGCCAAAACAGGGATTCTTATGCTCGCTTCACCAATGAGGAAATCGAGGCTCACTGGAGTTAAGTAGGTTTGCAGCAAAACCCAACTGTTACAGCCAGACACACCAAAAGATTGTGTCTCGCCCAAGGTCAGGGAGCTGGGTAGAGACAAGATTGCATTGGAACTCAGGATTTGTGTCTCACTGTTGTGAATTCTTTCTAGTATTTTCTTTCTTTGGAAATTATCTTTCCTAATACAAAACAGAAGCCATGTATTGACACCAATGGCAAATATAATAATATTTATAGACATTTTATTTTCTAGCATAAACCAGGAATCTAAGGAATATTTTCATAAAGCTAATTACTATAACAGGAAATTTGTATTATTGTAAATGAATACATTATTAACTACATTTATCTACCTGTACCTCTACATTCCCAAATTGGTTTCAACAACTGTTGAGGTGTTAGCTTCTATGTTTTCCAACCCCTTCCACTTAGGGTAATGGTAGAGAAACAGAAGACCTCTCACTGAACTGGAAAAGGGCTTGAGTTTAATGGAAAATAACTTAATAAGGGTATGCTTGTGAAGCCACTAATTTTTCTTAGATGTTTCTTTTGTGGGGAGAATACTTTTGATTAGTCTACTTTTTTTTTTAATATATTGAATAAGGCTTGCACCAATACATTCACTCATTAAAAAATTTAATATGTGCATACTTTATACCAGACACTATTATAGGTCGGTATACAATAGGGAACAAAAGGGAAAATGACTCCTACCTTTATAGAGCTTGTACTATACTGGAAGGAGACAGACACTAGATAAATTTTTAAAATATATAATTTATCTGTGGCTGTTATTACTGTGGAAATAATTAAGTACATGTCCCTGGGCCAGAAGAAGAAGATGGTGGCAATTATTTTTATAAGATGTTCACAGAGAGCTACACTGAAAAAGTGGCATGTGAGCAAAAACTTGAAGAAGGTATGAGGGTGATCCCTTTGGCTATATTGAGGAAGAACGTTCTGGGTAGAAAGAACAGCAAGTGCAAACACCCTGGAGGGTAAGTAGGTTTGGGGCATTTCAGACATACTGAAAAAGGCTAATGTAGATGGAGCAAATTAAGTGAGAAAGGATGTATCAGCGAGGTAAGAGTGGGAGTCAATTTGAGAAGGACTTTGGCTTCTTGCTTCAAATAACAGACATGTCACCAGCCCATTTTCTCCAGAAGAAAGAAAATCTGTGTGGCTCTGCTCAGTAGGTTTTTTGAAATGGTTGTTGCCTACCAGAATGCCTGAGTAGATGTGACCAAATGTAACTCAGTGACCCCTCTTAGGAGGCTGGCACTTCTCAAGTTACCACTTACTGCTTCACTGAAAGAACAGGGTTCATGGCAATCACTGAAGTTGGCAATATGAATGAATCATCTGAATGAGTACACTGCTCTTCTTGACTGAGGCCCCATCAAAAACCAATTAAAAATAGTGACTAGGGAATGAAAATTGTTTACTGGAATCAGTAGAAATTTCTGTGTGCTTATTACTTTTGAAAATTTTGATTGCTTTATTTTCAATAGCCTCTATTTATAAAGTGCATTGACTTTGCCAAGTATTAGGTAAAGTACTTTATATTCATATTTTAAAATTTAGTTTTCTTGTAATCCTGTTGGGCATGTATTATTTTTAATCATAAAAAACAAATTACATAAAATTTACTATCTTGACCATTTTTTAGTATATAATTCATTAGCGTTAAGTATATTCACATTGTTGAGCAACAGATATCCAAAACTTTTTCATCTTGCAAAACTGATAATCTACACCCATTAAACAACACCACATATTCTTCTCCCACAAGCCCCTGGTAACCATCATTCTACTTTCTGTTTCTCTGGAGTTGACTACTTTAGATACTGCATATAGGTGGAATCATACAATATTTGTATTTTTGTGTCTGGCTTATTTTACTTAAGGGTAGTGGTTTTTTTGTCCCGGTCTTACATGTGAAGAAACTGAGGTTTAGAAAGGTTAACTTGCCTAACGTTTTGCGGTTACTAAGCACACCGAACACCGAATCCAGATCTGATACTAGAATTCATGGGCTAAACTACTACTACATTATTTTTCAAATCAGAATGCTCAGGATCTGTGGGAAGAGGGTGAGGTATGTAAATTTATTCTTAGGGACCTAAAACTTTTATTTTTATGAAAAAAAACTTTGTGTGCACGACTCAAGTTTGAGAAACAGCATCAAACTGCAGTGACCATGTCAGTGACTATATGCCACACTCGAGAACATCCCAGAATTATTCATCTATTTTATTTTGTGTATGGGATACATTTACCTTCTCATTTCTACATGGGGCTGAGATTCTCATATTTCCATCACATTCATATAGATATACTGTGAACTCTCATATTTCCATCACATTCATGTAGATATACTGTGGTTGCAGCATTTTAAACCAGCATACCAAACTATAGTGGCAGCATCAATACTGACCTTGAACATTCCAAGACCAGTTCATTTTGGTTTACCAACCTAAGGTAACAGAACCCTTAAACTATGAGGAGAAAACCTGCTCTTCTTTGCTCCACCACTTGCACTTTGCTAAGTCATTTGATGTCAACATAGAATAGCTCATCATATTTATCTTCTTTGCCAATAGCTGCCCATTTATTCCTTTTGTTCAGAAAGGGAGTGTAAATAATTTTAAAATTGTTAAACATAAAAAAAGATAGATGGTTGGTAGGGAATAAATAGAACTTTTTCAATGACCACAGTTTCCAAGCCAAGGAAAGCAGGACAGATGGGCTGATGAGTACAAGTGTATTTATGGGGTGCATGGAAGAAAAGTATTTGATCAAGACTGACCTAGAAATATAGGAACATATGGCCACACAAACAACTTAGCATATTGAGTTGAAGGATATCTTTTTAGCATATTGAGTTGAAGGGATAGTTTTCGGCTTGCCTCAAACAAAAATAAAATAACTTTCTTAGGGCAACATACCTTTGAACCCATTATCTTTGGGGATTTATGGTGAAATTATTTCTCTCCTAATTCAAAGACATAACCTCTTCACTCTCCTTCAAAAGTATCCTGAGGCCCAAACTAGAAATCAGAATTTTTCAAGGACGTATTAATGCAGTATACTGGGTAGACTTTTTCTTTCTGTATGGTTAGAAGAGGAAAAAGATCACTAGACTCTTGTCAATTCCATGGTTGTGATTCAACAAACATTTATTGGGCTCCAACCAAATGTCCAGCTCATCACTAGTCACTTGGGGTCAAGGTGAGGAATAGAAATCAGGGATTTTAAGCACATGATACAGTGGAAGAGATACTTGTAATAATTTTATGTTAATATTTTGTGTATCATCATCTTACTTTTTGCATGTGCCAGAGGCATGGCTAACTAATTATTGATAGTTGGAAGATGGTGAGGGCTAGGACATCTGGTCGGGGTCTTCAAAGAAAATTCTAGATTGGGAGAAGGAATTGATAGATTCTGTGAACCTTGAATATAATATCCTTAGTACAATGCCTGTACCACTTCGGGTACAGAAGGTGCTCAATAAATCTTGGCTATTTACTCAGTCTTCAAACATTAGATGAGTACCCCTATATATCGAGTGTTGTGCTAGGCAGTAAGATACAAAAATTAACATGATGTAGTCTCTAACCTCAGTAAATGTAACATTCCTTGTGGAAACTGGCAGGTATGGAGACAAATGCAACAGTTCATTGTCATTCTATGATAGGAGTACACCCTTGGTGCTGTAAGAATCCCAGAGGAGGATTTTAGGGAACGGTTTTTAGCTTTGATGTACCTGAGTTCTGAAAGGTGAGTAGGTTAATCAGGTTAAAAGGTAGAGGCGCTAGGTGTGGTGGCTCACACCTGTAATTCCAGCAGTTTGGGAGGCTGAGGCAAGAGGATCTCTTGAGCTCACAAGTTTGAGACCAGCCTAGGCAACATAGTGAGAACTTGTCTCTACTAAAATTAAAAACAAAATTAGCCAGGTGTCTGTAGTCCCAGCTACTTGGGAGGCTGAAATGGGAGGCTTGCTTGAACCTAGGAGTTTGAGGCTGCAGTGAGCTGAGATCATGCCGCTGAATTGCAGCCTGGGTAACAGCGGCAGAACTTGTCTCTAAAAGAAAAAAAAAAAACTAGGTGGGAGGTGAAAGTATTGAATGAATAGAATGAATAATGGGATCAGAGAGAAAAGAGAGAAGAAAGAGAGGGAGAGAGACAATATATACAAAGTGTGGGTTCCTTAGGGAAATAACCCAAGTGTACTGTGATTAGACATTAGAATTTTTGCAAGTGAGTGACAGCTGTGAAGTAAGGTACGTGGGACTGGTTCTGATAGCTATTGCGGGGGTTGATGGGCAACTGAAACCCAACTGAAACCATATGGTTCAGCGGGGGAACTGGAAGCCATCAAAGCTGTTTTAATATTTTGATATGAGGTAGTACTTTTGTCATATAAGTATTTTAGAAATAAACACAAACCTAAATATATAAGGTACTTTGATTTTTTTTTTTTTTCTGGCAGATCCCAAAGTGTGGTTAATAAAGAACAGAGATGCTACGTAGCCTATGTTTATGTGCTAGTTTTGCTAGTGGCTTCCCCTGTCTCTGTTCGTAGTTGTTTCCTCTTTGCTATTTTTGTTTTATTCTCTTCTGTTTTCTTTCTTTCACCTGGTAAATAATTTTTTTTTTTTTTTTTTTTTTTTTTGGAGACGAGTCTCACTCTTACCCAGGCTGGTGTGCAGTGGCACAGTCGCGGCTCACTGCAACCTCTGCCTCCCTGGCTCAAGCGAACCTCCCACATCAGCCTGCCAAGTAGCTGGGACCACAGGTGAGAGGATTTGGCATGCTGCCCAGGCTGGTTTTGAACTCCTGAGCTCTAGCAGTCCTCCACCTCTCAAAGTGCTGGGATTATAAGCGTGAGCCCTTGTGCCCTGCAAAGTAATTTTTTATTACTTATTTTTAGGATCTGAAAGATGTTAGCCATCTATTAAACTAATATTTCAAATCAAAGCTGCAATTTATAGCGAGGAATCCTTTTGCTAATCCTGCAGCTAAGAAAACTTTCTGAAGATCAACCAAATCTTCCCGGTTATTAACAAAACTAAATTGGTGCGAACAGGGGGCTTGTATGTTCTCAAACAGATTTCACTAATTTATGACTATTTATGTCAGAAAAGCCATATTCTCTCTGTGATGATGTACTAGAGTGAAATATTACTATGTATACGGCATAGCTTTTTTAACATTTTTAAGATGTCACTCTCCACCATGACCTAGCCCATGGTTCCAAGCGCACCTAGTTTATATACATGGCATATAGTCTTGGATCTGCCTCTAAGTAACTGTATGCTCTTGGATAAATCAGTTACTTTATTTGAGCTCTTAAAGATAACCTGGTTTGGCTCCATCATTTCTAGCTAGATGTCTTATTGTCCAGAACAGGTAGCTGCCCACTCTGTCCTTGACACTCTCAAAAGACTCCAAAGACTCTTGCTAGTACCATTCTGTCATCATCATGACATTCTTTCTCATGATCCCTCCAAATTCTCACCTTCAATTTAAACCTATTTCTCCTCATTAGTTCCCTTTGCACCTAATAAAAATTATCACAGAAAACTCTTGTTTAAGAACTCAGCCCATACTTATTGGTTGCAAAGAATAATAAATTCAACCTTTTAGTTGTCTCTTACTGGGCTACTGATTTATCCTTTATATTACCTATGAATCTGAGGGATGGTGAAATATGGCCAGTTTAATTTATTTGAGTTTTAATTATTTGAAGAGAGAAACATAAGCTATCCAATAAAGTGGGAATAGCAATATGAGTGTTATTATTTGGATTATCATTATTAGGGTTTTGGCATGCATAGATACGAGGTGCTGCCACATTAACCTGAAAACTGTAGGCCAAGAAAGGATATTTTCACTAGCCAAACATTTTTATTTTTAATTATAAATCCATTCAGCATATATGTTTGAGTGCCAGACAATAGAATTCAAGAAATACAGCAGATAGACAAAAATCACTGTCCTTAGGGAACTTCTGTGTATTCATAAATTTATATATTTCTGTTTTATAGGTGTCAAATGTAAATGAGAATGCTGAATGTCAAATCCAAAACTCATAATTCTGTTGATTTGTCTCAGCATAGTATATTGTCCTCCAAAAAAGTATTTTTTAATACTTTTAAAGGAATTGTTACATTTTCAAGGTTATATTACCTTCGATTAAGGTAATTTACTCATGTGTATGGCCATATTCTAAGAGTTCTTTTGGGACTATAGCAACTTATATTTAATTTCTCTCCATTATTTTCATTAGTATGTATTTAGACCCAGTAGTGTTCTAGACGGTATAGTAGCTGTGAACATAGCATGGAAATAAGCCCTTCTGCTCAGATGATTTATGAGGAGACAAGCAGTGGAGAGAGAACAATACCCTCTTGAACCAGACTGCCACAAAGGAGAGGGAAAACTCAGTTTTCAGATATCTAGAATGTGTTGACTACTGGGTTGAGTAGTCTTTTGTCCAGCATATACCCCTCTACTTTCTTCCAACCTTCCTTCACTTGACACATTTCTTGTTCATACGTAGCTCTCTGTTCCAGCATCTTTTGGAGAACTAGGTGAGTCAGAAGTGTCTCATAATCTGTCCCACTCAGTTTTATTTCTAGAGAAAATAATAGTGATATACTTCTCTATGTTAATCAAGTAACAACTAAAAATAATTATAGACATTTTCAGACCTTAGTTAATTAACACCAATGTGTTGAATTAATGTCTGATCATTTTTAAATGATTTTATTTTGAAACACGTTGAAACCCAGATCGCTGTGGGTTTCAGCTAGCTTTGTTTATGGATGTAGGTGTGGGGATTTATAGGAAGGATGGATGCTTGCAATAAACAACGGAGCTAAAATTAAAAAATAGACCCAGCATCATACATTGGATGACATCGATTTCTGAGTTTATAATTTGCAGGTCTGTTTTCCAACTTCTGTTTTCTTTTAAAATATGGGTGTGCATTTTCTTCAGGAAATATGAAATTTAGGCATGATATAATTCTGTAAATATTTATTGAATAGTTATTTCATGTAACTAGCCAGTCTAAAATCTGAGGGAAATATAAAGAAGAATAAGACCTGTTCTCAAACCTCATGGGAAAAGATTGTGCAAGAAGGGAAATAAAGCAAATAAATAATTTCAATCAGAAAAATCTCCTTGCTGCTTGAAAACATTCTTCTGAAGAATCCCCCATCAGAAAATATAACCCTTTCATGATAACTTTAGTGACATTGCCATCTTTCTTATGTAGATCTCGGACAAGGATGCACCTGATGTTCAATTGCTTTTTCCAGTGGTAGGATTGTCATATTCTCCTACTAGATTCACCTTCATATTACATGCATATTTATGAAAAAGCTGGATGACAATAATGCAACCTTGTGAATCTTGCTGTATTCATTATACAGTGAACTCCCAACTCACTTCCTCTACACTCACACTCCAAAATATATATATTTTTTTATTTTTGTATTTGTTTTAAGACAGGGTCTTCCTAGGCTTAAGTGCAGTGGTGTGATCTTGGCTCACTATAGCCTCAATCTCCCAGAGTTAAGCGATCCTCCCACCTCAGGTTCCCAAATAGCTAGGACTATAGGCACATGCCACCACACCTGACTAATTTTGCTTGTTTTTGGTAGAGACTGTGTTGCCCAGGCTGATCTCAAACTGGGTTCAAGCAATCCTCCTGCCTCGGCCTTCCGAAGTACCAGGATAACGGGCATCAGCCACCATGCCCTGCATCACACTCTAAATTAGATTAGGGTTCTTTGTGGCTTTTTTGTCTCCTTAGGAGTCTAATACAGGCTTTCCTATTTAGTCACATCACCTCTAGAATAAAAGTACAAAATGTAATCAATCCCATCCTAGACTTAGTATCAGAAAACAATAGCTAATAATCAGTTTTCCTCCTGGTCCTGTAGCCCAAAAAGCACTTGCTCTGCTTTAAAAACTGGTGCAAAACAAGACGCCTCATTTCGCTCTACCCACAGTTTGTGGATGGGGTTTATGACATTAAGATTAGGATCATATGACTTAAGAAAATATTAATATCTTGGATGATTTCTGTAGAGAAGCATGTCAAAATAGGAAATGCAGCTTAAGGGAAAATAAATCTGAAAATGAAATGTGTGCTGCAGGTAAGAAGTGATGGTTACATGGTATCTAATTGAAGTCTAACCCCAGATGCCCTCAGTGTTGAGAGCAAGTTGTAGGGGGAGGCGTGGATTTCGTTCATGTAATATTCTCATCAATGCCTTTCCAGTGACCCCAATCAAAATAATAATAATATGAATGATTTATATCTCATGCCTGTCTAGATCTAGATCTAGAATATAAATTAAAAAGCTTTAGCTTTTTATCTATCTAGATCTAGAATATAAATTAAAAAGCTTTAGCATTTTTTTTAATTTATTATAACATACACTGTTAAAAATGAGGGATGGTGATGGTGGATATACAAGCCTATACATGTGATAAAATGATATGAAATTAAATACACACATGCACAGCTACACACATTCACATGAGTATAAAAGTAAAGGATCTGAATTAAGATAGGTAGACTGTGTTTATGTAAATACCCTGGTTGTGATATTGTACTATAGTTTTGAAAGACGTTACCATTCAGGGAAAGTGAGTAATGATCACACAGGATCTCTCTGCACTATTTATTACAATTCTATATGAATCTCCCATGACCTCAAAACAAATTTTTTAAAAAGTTATGGGCTTGCTGTACAAATGCAGCTTCAAAAGAATCCTCCTAAGTACCCCTATCAAACGTTGTTTTATTAACCCTTCCTATGTGGACTTTCTGGAACTGAGCCTTTCCGGAGTCCAAGACACTATGCTCTTGCTATGAACAAATCAAAAAGAGTGATTTAAGAGAAATTGAAAGTTTGTTTAGTTTTGTTCAAGGGCTCTAAAAACAAAAAGCACAAGAAAGTCTAGAGCATTGGATTTAATATTGGAAATGAAGATTTTCAGGGCCGTTGTGTCCTCATAATATTCTGCAACAACTTGTTGTGGAATGAGCAGTACCAAATTGTAGTCTTTAATGGTTTTGTAACATTATAGTAGGAAAATACTATTCTTTCTTTGCTAAATCTGAATGTCAATTTTCCTAGCTTTTAATCTACATTTAAATATAATTTAAGGAACTCACGTCAGACTTTATAGTATCTATCTATGCACAAGTGCTCCAACAAAAAGATAATTAGATGACATTATTGCATATTATAGCTAAAATTATTGGTTAGTAACTGTTTTAACAATTTATTCCATCTCCTAAAAACTTGGGCTTCCCAACACATATATCACTATTCTGGATTGCTATGACTTTAATTTAGTTATTTCCTTTCAAAAGACATACCATTTAGTGTGTGTGTGTGTGTGTGTGTGTGTGTGTGTTTCAGTCAGGTACTATTACCGTGACTAAATGTATTATGGCAGAATTTTCTTTATATATGTCCCAAGTTGTTGATCATAACAATAGATATAATGGAGTATATTCTCCTTTATTGGCATTTTTACACGGTGTTAACCTTGGCCGCAGGTTGAAAAAGTACTTAGTAATGTTCTTCAGCTAAACACATAAGTGAAACAAAGAAAAACTGGAATTCCATATATAATGTGATCTTAGGAACTAAAATATGGAATGCTGCCGTGCAGTGATACTGCGGGAAATCAATCATAAAGGTCTAATGAGACATAGAATTAGATACTTTTGCCAGTAATCTTTGTTTTTTTTTTTTAGACAACTAGTGTATATGCAGCTAACATTTATCTATTACAGTTGATGAGACTTATTTTATATTTACAGATTAACAACATTTTCTTTTGGATTTCAAATATTTTATTTGTGCCAGTAACAGGACAAAAAATGAATGTTCTAATTTAATCTTTTACGTCCCCATAATAGTTTCAGAGTTGTCTCTCAGCTTACATTACTTATTCATTGATTTCTGCATGTGAAGCGTCTCACCAAGAATCATCTTTAGGTGAAAAAATGCTGAGATTTGAAAACGTAATAATGGTTCAGAAAATTCACAACCAAATAGTAGCAGTCTATCACTTGCCATAGTGGGAATATAGATACAAGTTTTGGATGAGAATATGGCTGCTGATGACCAGGAGCTTATCATTAAAATGTCAGAAAAGATTAGCAAGAATATAATAAATTACATCATAGAGGTGCAGTATTTACTAATTAAAGCCCCAAAGAAGAGCTACTTAACCACAGAGGAGGTTGGGGGAAGAGAATAGGTAAAGAGGGAAAAAGCCAGAGGGATGAGAATGAGAAAGTTAAAAGGGAGGTCAGGAAAGCCATCTTTTAGGAGAAATATAAATTGACAATGCTTTAAAAAAGGAGCTGCCATCATATTATACCCTGACCCAGCTGGATACGAACAAATTCAGCCTTGGCAATGCAAGTCTTACATCTATTTTATATAGAATGTATAAAAGAGAACTGGAAGCATTTTCAAGAGGGGTATGTATGTGTTTGTGTGTGTCTGGTAATTAATGAAAGAGAGGCTATTGAATTTACAAGTAAAAAAATGTTTTTCTTTAGGTAGCTTAAAATCAAAGCTATTTTGGAGACCTATGATGTACAATGAAATGAGGGGGAAAAAAGAGTAAAAACATGATTTAATAGGAAGAGAATCAGGAATGCACTGGTATTAGTTTGAAATGCAACTATAAAAAGGAATTATAGGGTTTTGTTTTGTTTTATATTGGACACTAGAATATATGACACTGTCAAAAATGCCAAAAAAAATCTATTACTGAGGAGGAAATATACCAGGAAATTTGTCACTACCATAACTAAAAAACTGCAGTATACAAAATATGATTATGACATGAGAACACTAATTGTATAAGCCATATATGATTTTTTCTGATCTATTTGTAGTCACTGCTGCAGCTTTAACTATGTGCATATGTGTGGATATCTCTTTACAAAATAAAGACTTTTCTGAAAATATGTGTATGGAAACATATTTTCAAATGAATCTAGTGAAGTTTAAATGCACTGGTAAATACTAGTAATAATCACATTGTTTCTTTCTTTCTCCCCCTCCCTGCTGTCTTTTTCACATGTTTTTATAAATAAATATTTATAAAGATCCTAGGTTGGCTTTAAGCAAGGTCTAGAGGTTAGAACAACTCTTTCAAAAGTAACTGCCATGATGTAACATTATTAGATGCAATTTGATTTCTGGTTACGAGAGAGGGCAATTCTGCTTGAAAGAAGTCATGCTTTGCCTCCAAAGAAAAAGTTGTGATGAAATAGCTCTACTGTAAAAGGGAAGCATGACTATTAATGCATTGAATAAACATTTATTGAACACTTTCTACAAGTCAGACATGGTGTACTGGGGAAAAATGGTAAGCAAAACAGATGTGGACTCTGTCCTTATGAAATGGGTATCCAGCAACATATTTTAGCCAATCTGAAAAATATATATAATAAGAGAAACTCTAATATCTATTTTTAGAATTTGTAAATTGCTAGTTTTCTAATGTTACTCCATCCTTTTATCTAATAAAATTAGGCAATAAAAAGAGAGATCAGAATTCTTTGGCACACATAACTATAGCAATACAGAGCCTGTCATTAAACGGTATGCGGGATTGGAACAGAGGAAGTAGGTGCCTGCAGAGAGAGCTTTCTGCCTCTAGGGAGCATCCCTACCTGGCTCTCATGTTTTCTGCCCAGGGCCTACTGCTAGCCCATATGTCGCCCACCCTGGGGAAGATGCAGCCCAGCACCAGGGCTTATGCCCACAACTGAATTTCAGGGCTGATTGCACAGCAATGCACACAAACTTCATTCATTTTGTGTCACACTTAGGTGAAGCTCAATTACTGAGTTTTCCGATTAAAAATGATCTGCAATAAGAGTGCTTTTGTGAGGGGGAAAAGGCACTGAATACCAAAGATCAAGCATAACAGAATCTCAAAATGTTATCTTCCAAATCACCAGAAAGGTGACATAAACATCATTTAATACACAACTTTAGAAATTATCTTTAAAACACCTCATTGGCAACCATTTCCACCTCACGTGGCAATACATCCTGTAAGTTAAGTGTTTTGGTGATACATTGCTCTAATACATCCCAGTGAGTATGCTCTGAGAGCATATTAGTGCAATGCATCATTGCTGGGGGACGTTGTGTGGTGTGCACGCAGCAGTTCATGTCTCAAACGATACAGAGCATCATTTCAACTTCTGCAGCCAAAGCACAAGAATCCCCTGATTCAAATGGCTGCCCAGCTAGCAAGGCAAGGGTGCCGCACAATTTGTAGCCTTTGAATGGAGCCTGGAATCTTGTTGGCTGTCATCACTTCTTAAGTAAAAGTCCAGAATACTACCGTATGGTGTTGTCAATGCAAATCCTGACAGCATAGGGGAATAATTAATTTAGTATGATTCTCTTTTGGAAGCCACACTTCTCTTTAGATTTTTCAGAGTGATCTTGGGTGAAGTTAACATTTGGATTTCTCTCCTAGGTAGACGTTAGGAGACCTTAGAGAGCTGGAGCAAAGTGATGTTAGAGTTTGATACTTCCTCTATGTATGCATCTCACCTCTTCTGTTTGAAGTTAATTTGATTTTGCCTGCATAGGAAAGGAGCCTTGGGAGATGATTTTTTTATTAGAGATATGCTGAACCGTTCAGTTTCCAAACGTGCAAACTGGAGGAAATTGAAAAGTCCTTGAAGACGGAAGCTTTTGGTTCATATCCAAATTTCAATTCAGATTTTTTTTTTTTACAAAAGCCAATATATCAGCCAATTTTTAGCGACATCCTCTTAAATCATTTGGATATTTAAGTGAATGTAAAATGCCCACCAATTTATTCTACTTCTATTGGTTAGATGGCATTTGGGGCTTTCTTTTATTGCCATTTTTATATGCATAGGGTGTCTAATGTCTTCCTGGGTGTTTCTTTCTTGACATGCTAGAAAAGAAGTAAAGGAGGACTACTTTTTAGGGTAAGCACAAAGCTTTTATCAGTAGATTAAGGCCTTTTAAAACCCAGTCCTGGGAAAAACTGTTGGAGACTTCTTAAATATGCAACAACACAAATAACAAGACATATGTTTGTTATATGATATAACCATCTGAGGGGGATTGGTTCCATGACCCCTCCTCATCCACATGGCAAAATTTGTAGTTACTCAGGTCCCTTATGTTAAATAGGTGTAGTATTTTCATATAACCTAGGCACATTCTCTTGTATACTTTAAATCATCTCTAGATTACTTATAATACCTAATACAATGTAAATACCATGTAAATAGTTGTTACAGTGCATTGTTTATTTGTATCATTTTATTATTGTATTTATTATTATTATTATTATTATTTTCAAATATCTTCCATCCGCTGTTGGCAGAATCTATAAGCGCAGATTTTCAAATTCTCCATCACATATTTTGAAACTACTCAGGTTTACATCTCTTTGGGATTCCACCCCAATGAGATGCTGTTTCATTTCTTACCTTAACTTGGTTGTAATATGGATAAAAATATCATATTTGATTGTTAGCATCTGAAATGTTCTAATAATTAACTATCTAATAGTTAACCTTATACCTTCTAATACATTTATATTTCTTATAAATTAATTTAAAAGTTACCACTCCCACATAGACTTAGAAATGAGATGTTTTCCCATCCAGGTCCTTCATCTGAGACCTAGGCAGAGATCCATGTGTTTGACTTTAGATTCCGTTTTTTTTTTTTAAAGACAGAGTGTCTCTCTGTCACCCAGGCTGGAGTGCAGTGGTGCAGTTACGGTTCATTGCAGCCTTAACCCCACAAGCTCAAGCGATCCTTCTGCCTCAGCCTCCTGAGTAGCTGGGACTGCAGATGCACATCACCATGTCCAACTATTTTTTTAATAGAGATGAGGTTTTGCTATGTTGCCTAGGCTGGTCTCGAACTCCTGAGCTCAAGCAATCCTCCTGCCCCAACCTCCCAAAGTACTAGGATTACAGGTATGAGCCACCATGCCTGGACTGATATAATTTTATATGTGAATATAATAATGCATTTTTAACTCACCGTAAAAGTACATTGCATATTATCCAATTGTATTTCAATTAAGACAAGGCTAGAAATACATATAATACTGAGAGTAAAATGAGGCAGTTGTTATCCTGACTGAACAGATGAAAAAGCAATAAAGATACTTGCTCAAATTCACACAATTAATGAAAGAGCTGAAACTAGAAACAAAATGTCTCAATACCTTGACCCTCATTCTAGTACCTAGTAGGTTTTGACCACTAAGAAAATAAATAATCTTGAATACAAATGTTGAATAGGGAAAAATAAAGTAAGTTTTATTAACTTCTAATTCTCTGGCCTTTTCGTTCTCAGAGGTTGTCAGGGTTTATCACTTGTTAGAAATCATTTGTTGTAATTTGGTGTGATACAGTGGAATGAGTTATTACTAGCTGTGCAGCTTCAGGAAAGTTACCTAACTTTTGATATCTGAAAATGGGGATAGAAAAAGCCTACATCAGAGAATTGATATAACAATTAATGATAATGGCTGCAATGCATACTGACTGGTACATATTGGAAATAATCAGTGATGGCTATTATTGTTAACATTAACTTTGAAATCATTCATATATTAGATGGGCTAAATAAGTCTATTCTTATGAAAGAAACCACTAAGAAGTATGCTTGCAAAAACAGAAGGAGCTAGATCAGACATTAAAAAACAAAACAGTATAATTATTAATATATCTTTTTATCCAGAGCGCATTGGAGAGGATTTCTGGCAGCAGAATTTGGTATAGCATCATATTTATCACCTGTCTGGTATTGACCTCATGTTTTAAGCATTAGAAAATGACCTGGCTGGTTGTTTGGGCACAGTATGTGCATGCCCTTCAGGACATGGGGTTTTGTGGTTGCCTTCAGGCTCAAGATTCTGGAAGACTCCTTGCGTGAGCTCCAGACCTCTGCTGACCCCTTAGTCCTCCTGTTTTCTCTGGGTCCACCTGAAAATACAAAGGACTTCTCTGCAACCCGCCAGAGTCTTTGGGGCTTCTCTAATATAACTCCCTTCTGCAATTACCACATCTACTCCTAGGCCTTGACTGATAGAGTACCCTGCCAAAAATCGAGATTACTCTGAGAGGCTTTCAGAGTTCCCCATGAATGTGGAACCAACACCAGTATTTTCTGACTCTGGTTTTATCTGGATGTTCTTAGGTTCAGCTCTGTTGGGGAGGAAGGCCACCCCAGCTGCCTCTTTTTGTTTTTCCCTTTTTCTAAGCTTTTCCCCCAAGCATCTGAATGGTTTTCTTTTCTCTGTGTTGCAGGAACTTCCCTTGAGGCATTTTAGTTATTTGCTTTTCTGCAATATACTCTATGGTTCCTAGGCACCTCCCATCTAATGTTGAAATGTGGAAACATTGACAGTTTTTAAATATTATTTGTCCCCCAAAATTTTTCAAACCAAAAAAAAAAATCTCATTTTATGATCTCACTATGTACTTTAAAAATATCTTAGCAGATCCGAAACTGAACAGAACTACACACTTATCAAATGTGCTCAGCCATAGATTCAGTGGGTAGGAGAATCAAGAAACAACAAGGACAGAGATAGTACACTAGACAAAAATACACTGAGACCTTGAGTAATTAAGGTGACAGAGAATGAAAATACACAGGTTTAACCTCAAACTTTTCATCCTCATTGTGTCTAAGAATGTAGAAGCCACTTCTTCTTAAGACCCAGGAAACTTAATACAATTCTTCAAACTCGTGACTTACTGAGTTTCTTCTCCTGTGCAAACCTGTTGTTCTGAATGACCATTTATATTTTACTTTTCTGAAGCAATCAGCTATTAGGGTTGTTCTTGTGTTCACTTAAGCATCACTGTGGGAAACATTTTATATTGCATTAATTTTAACTACTATCTCCTTCCTGGTATCAACTAGACTCTCCAAGAAACAGATCCTTGGGCCTATAGCTAAAGCCATGGCCAGTAAAAACTGATTTTTTCCTCCAGTGTAGGCATTCTGATTTGGGATTTAAACTTAGACCTGCTTCTCAAAGAGTTTTTGTTTACTGAGTTATTTCTTGTGGCTTGGTCAAAAACAGCTGAATCTAGTAACTGAGTGACTACCCAAACCACTTCTTTCTGTGGAAAATTTACATCTATCTAGCATAGGGTAAGGTGATAGGGTACACACCTTTCCCTGATCCAAATCACAAAGGTAACCAAGCTGCGGAAAACACTTTGATATCAAAATAAATCATATCCTACAGTCTGTAGCAGCACTTTGAGTCTTTATTTTAACAAGACTCAGGATTATATGAGCATTGCTATGTTATATATATATAACATGACTGCCATGTTATAAATTTGTTATCAAATAGGTTGTTTTCCTCCAGTCTGGATGGGTTTAATATAATTTATACACATTCATATCTAATTCCTTATTTGACCAGTGAGACACATGTCAACATAGCTCCTGGGCTTACAGTTGCTTTCTGCCACTCAACCACACAGCAAAGCAAAGATTCACACAAAGTGCTAACTTGAATAAGTCATCTAGTCATGAAAACACCTCTAAATTCACAAAGGGTAAAATTTTTCTCTTGTGATATGTTAGCATAAGGAGGAAGGAGCAGATTATTGGATTTACGATACTTATAAGAAATTAATTCTAAATGAGATTACTAATAGCAATTAATAAGGTATGATTAACAGCACCAACCTGTGTACCAGTGCTATGGAAATGCCCACCATTTTGTGTAGCATAAAGGCCTCGTATACTTTACTTCCACTGGATTTCTCTGTCTTTGATTCTTCCCCCCGCCCCCAGTACTCTGCTGCCAGCCCATGTCTTACTCCTTCTTCCTCTCTAGAATAACATGTTCTCAAGAGACAAGCTTGATCTATCTTGTTTCTAAAAGACATTCCTGCTTTGATATTGGCTTCTTATAGATCCCTCCAAAATATCAATAGAAATATTCTACAGTAGAGGCATTAGAGATTTTATTTTTTATTTTTTGCTCTTTAATTTAGTAGTAAACCAGATAATCAGAAATCCACATGTATATGAGCAGCGTTAATTGGCAACAGTAGTTACTTGAGAGCATCCGTATTAGACAAGGTCTCAAGTGTTTATTCTGAATTCTTTAATCTTTTTTATAATCCTTCACAGTGCTCTGGTTTCATCATATAATTATAATGCTACTTAATGTGGAGAGCTAAAATGTTTTATATAACAATTTGTTGTATTCCATTTTGATGACATTGGCTGTCTGATACAAGAATACCAGTTATACACCTGCAGAAGTTAATGACAGGGCCAGGGGTCTGAATTCAATTGGCCTTTCAATGCCTGTGAGCTGCAGAATTAGTATCCATCACAATTTTATAAAAATACCTTAGGTATTTAGTCTAGTTTCTGTATTTGGCCTGTAGACGGGTGAATATCAGAGATGGATTGCAGTTCTTAAGTTAGTATGAGTGACTCTCAAGGTTATTTCAATGGCGAGTCATCATATGTATTATATATGTATTATACACACATACATATGTGTTTATATTACATATAATATATATAACAAATTTTGACTGGTTTCTGTAAAATTTATGGCAGAATCTACTCTTGGGGTCATTATTTTCTTTTATTTTTAATTTTTCTGAGTACATACTAAGTGTTTATGGAGTACATAAGATATTTTGATACAGGTATGCAATGCCTAATGATCACATGAAGGTAACTGGGGTATACATCACCTCAAGCATTTATCCTTTCCTGTGTTACAGATAATCCAATTACACTCTTTTAGTTATTTTAAAATGTACAATATATTATTGTTGACTACAGTCACACTGTTGTGATATCAAATACTAGAACTTATTCATTCTGTCTAATTATATTTTTGTTCCCATTAACCATCCCCACTTCTCCCAACCCCCACTACCCTTCCCAGGCCCCGGTATCCATCCTTTTAGTCTCTATGAATTCAATTGTTTTAACTTTTAGCTCCCAGAAATAGGTGAAAACATGCAACGTTTGCCTTTCTATGCCTGGCTTATTTCACTTAACAATATGACCTCCAGTTTCAGCCATGTTGTTACAAATGACAGAATCCCATTCTTTTTTATGGATAAATAATTATTCATTGTGTATATATACTACATTTTCCTTATTGATTTGTCTGTTGGTGGACACTTAGGTTGCTTCCAAATCTTGGCTATTGTGACTAGTGTTTCAATAAACATGGGAATGCAGATATATTCTTGATATATTGATTTCCTTTCTTTGAGGTATATATATACTAGTGGGTTGCTGGATCATATGGTAGTTCTATTTTTAGTTTTTTTGAGGAAACTCCAAACTGTTCTCTGTAGTGGTTGTACTAATTTACATTCCCACAAACAGTGTACAAGGGTTTCCCTTTTCACCACATTCTCACCATCACTTGTTATTGCTTGTGTTTGGATAAAAGGCATTTTAACTGGAATGAGTTGATATCTCATTGCAGTTTTGATTTGCATTGCTCTGATGATCAGTGATGTTGAGCAGCTTGTCATATACCTCTTTGACATTTGTATGCCTTTTTTGAGAAATGTCTTTTCAGATCTTTTGCCCATTTTAAAATCAGATTATTAGACTTTTTCCTATTTAGTTGTTTGGACTTCTGCATGTTCTGGTATTAATCCCTTGTCAGATGGATAGTTTGCAGATATCGTCTCCCATTCTGTGGGTTGTCTCTTCACTTTGTTTATTGTTTCCTTTGCTGTGCAGAAGCTTTGTAACTTAATGTGATCCCATTTGTCCATTTTTGCTTTGGTTGCCTACGTTTATGGGGTATTATTCAAGAAATCTTTGTCTAGTCCAGTGTCCTGGAGAGTTTCTTAGGATCATTATTATTAAAAGTTAATTGCAATTTGAGGTCTAGTGACACAGAGGTTGAGGTAGAAATAGGCTACATTACTTGATCTTTGAGAGGCTTGGTTTGTTTCTATAATATGGTTAGGAACAAGCACTCTGTATCTGGACTGTCTGGGTCTAAATTTCATTCTGGTACTTACTATGTGAGCTCAGTTTCTTCTGAAAAATGGGGACCCTAATTTTATGAGAGGCACTGTGCTGCACAGCTCCACAGACATTGTATTTTAATGAATATTACATTGGGAATTCTGTAGCAGTGGGCCTTTTCTACTATATCAGCAGGTTGTCATGAGGATTATATGAGTAAAGTGGTTAAAAGAATGTCTGACTAAACACTCTGTGTTCGTCATTATTTTTGAATAAAAGTGATTTTAATGACTAATTACACCTTAAAAATTAGTAGTGCATTCTAGTTCTAATTTTAATGATATCTAATGATGAAATTTACCCCCACACTATTCTAGTTACTTGCACTTGTTTTAATAAATATGTTTCCAACGTATTAAATGGAGTTCATTAATCTTAGAATAATATTGTATTGCAGGGCTCTACCAAAGCATTGTGGAGCTTGAGGCAAAAGGAAAAATCAGATTCTATATCTTTATTTAAAATTTGAATACCTTGTTCATTGTGGACTTTTTCTTATTAAGTTTTAAAAATATTTCATTGAAATATTTGTCGTGATATGAGATTTAACATCCTCCTTTATATTTTGTTCCAAAGTGAGTATCTCACTTACCTGACCCCTCACCCAAGTTCTGGCCCTGCTGTTTTGGGCTTCATCAGTTACAATGAAAAAAATGGTCCCAGTCTACGTGTGGTTAGTACATCTCTCTTCTCTTATTGACTACAGGAGGCTGTAATCATCAAATCTAACTCTAGACCCCTGAAAACTGATGTGTTGAATGTTATTCATCCTAGTGTTAAACCTCATTCTTTATTCTCCAGTTACAAGGCAACTTAGAAAATCTTAAAGAATTCTTAACATTCAAAACAACGTTTGTACCTTCTTAAAATGTAGTCTGGTAATTTGGTCCTAAGAGTGAAGTGAGCACAAAACAAGTGTGACACTAAATCAGAGTGCATAGGACAGAAAGGAGAAAAACAATTATCCTGACATCAAGAGAGAAAGAGAGTAGGATGAAACCTAAGGGGGATTATTATTATTAATATTATTTTTTACCAGCAGTGTTAAGAGAACCACAGCTAGTTAATGAGGCACTTGGTCGAAAAAGAGAAAAGGGATAAGGAGTCCCTTTACTTCTATACACGAAAGGCATGATGATGAGATTGAGAAAGTGTGCCCAGAACCAGGGCTGAATAAGTAAATAGGAACTCAGCTACTATCCCATGGGGTGGGGAGCATGCACTAGAATCGCATCTGTGATTTTGGAATCAAGCTAGATAAAAGCTGAGTTGGATCCCTGCTCAGTCACCTAGTTACTGTGTAATTTGGACAAAATACTTAAATTCTCTGAGCTTTAGTATGGAGATAAAAATGTCTACTTCATAAGACTGTCATGAGACGTAGAAGTTTGTTGTTCAACAAGCATGGGACACAGAGAAGGTGCTTGACAGTTGCTGTTGGGTGCTGTAATGATTCATATTAACATGATGGCTGGGCACGGTGGCTCACGCCTGTAATCCCAACACTTTGGGAGGCTGAGGCAGGCGGATCACCAGAGGTCATGCATTTCAGACCAGCCTGGCCAACATAGCGAAACCCTGTATCTATTAAAAATACAAAAAAAAAAAAAAAAATAGCTGGGCGTGGTGGCACGTGCCTGTAGTTGCAGCTACTTGGGAGGCTGAGGCATGAGAATCTCTTGAACCCAGGCAGCGGAGGTTGCAGTGAGCTGAGATCATGCCACTGTACTCCAGCCTGGGTGCAGAGTGAGACTCCATCTCAATTAAAAAAAAATAATTATACCAGGCAACGTAGAAGCTAATCAAAGGCAATTAGGGGCAAAGTGGATGTAGCTGGCCAACTCTAATGAACTGTCTACTGGGGACTTGTTCAACATACAACCGAAATAGAAGACAGCCAAGTTGGCTAGGCCTGAAGTGAGGAACGTGTGTTTATGTAGCCACCAAGAGGTGGCCAACCTAGTGTCGGGTCAGCATCGCTGTGCTAATGAGCACAGCCCTCCCCATTTCTGAATACAGCAGGAAAATGATACTAAAGAATATCCACTGGTGTCCCAAGAATGCAGGAGTCTTCAATAAGCCAGTATTGCCAGAAACTACATCTAGGAGAGGAGAAATCAAGAACAAGCCTGACTCGGGACATTGCCCTTCCAGACAGGGAGAAGGGCTGGGACATGGTCTGGCCAAGGGCAGAGTATTGACGGGAGGAGTTGATGACAGTTATACTTGGGAGGAGATGACTGCAAATGGCTTTTATTCCACACAGTTTGGAGAGTCATGTAGTAATGATAAGTAGGCTGGTACTATTCACTTTAATTGCTGAAAGATACATTCTCATCTTTATTTTCTCAAACTAGTGTTTAATTAAAAAAAAATATTTTCCATTGTTTTTTCTCATCCTATTGTACTACTGAGTAAAATTTTATATATATGTGCATTTAGGACTTTTCAGAACTCAGAAGACATGTCAGGATATTTTTTGGTTCCCAGTCAGAGTAAATAAATCTGGTAACCAATGCTTATACAATGTCTATATATCTGGCCAAATCATTTAAAAAACATAGCCATCTGGATACTTGGTCTAGGATGCTCAGTGACTGCTATGGTCATTTAAAAATATTCAATGATTTTTTTTTTATTGAAGTGAATAAACCGATTATATCTTTTGGTAATTTATTAACACATCTTCATAAGGAAAAGACGTGCGAAATTACATGAGACTATTTTCTTTCTTTTCTTTTTTTTTTAGGAGTTAGTTGAATTTTCTCAGCAATCCAAAAATGTATGCATACTGTCATCCACCAAAACAAGAAGGTCCCATTCCTGCTTCTCTCCTAAAGTTATGACGCATTTTCCCCTTCCATTCTTGAGCTACCTGAGCTGCCTGGATCTAGCATTCATTTAATCTTGGACACCAAAGTCAGTTTTCTTTGGGTTGTGTGAGAATTTGGGCTTTGCATTTTTTATTTTACTGAATTTTTGTTGGCAAAAACTCTGCACCTGCCTGGGAGCTGATTGAGCTTCCGTAGAGCCAATATGTTTCTCAGTTCTCCAATTTAAATGCTGCCAAAAATTTTCTAACGTGTGCCATGAGAAATTCAGTAGCACATAAAACCCCATTCATTAAATAAACAGTTAACTAAGCAACCCCTGGCAAAAGGCACAACCCATCTGACATCTGAATCATGTGGGACTTTCCAAAGAAATAATTAAAGAATAGATTAAAAAGAAATACCCTACTGCTTAGCAGTTATAATTGAAAAATAACAGTTCTCAACCTGGGGTCTCTATACTTTTTAGGGCCCTTTTAGTTAGAAATGAACAACAGTTACATGTGTTCAATATTTTAGCAAACCTAGAAAAGGCCATATATTTAGTCCACCCAGTATAAGCTAAATAAAACAAGTATTTGCATCCAGCTATAATTCCATCAATTTAATATCATTATACAGACTGTCTCATTCTGTCATTTATATGCCTTTAATAAATTTAAAATAAAAAATATTACTTTAAAAATACTATTTGTTTAGCAGATAAAGTCAAAATGTAGAGTTCCAGAGAGATGAGATAAAATTACGAAATTTGAGAAGTATTTTTGTCAACATCAAGATTTGAGTGTGATTACTTTACAGAATGCATCTTTGCTTTCAATAGTAGTCACTTACTAATTTAAATAATGAACACTCCCCTCTTACCCATTTAAGATCTTAACCCTTAAGACCTTACACAGTTAAGATCATAATAGCAACAGTAATGACTACCCTTTATTTAGGTACCCAGGATCAAGTACTTATGTGCTTAAATAACATTGCAAAATAAGTTTTCATAATCTCATTTGATAAAGAGGGAAATTATTTCAGTAAGAATAAGCAACTTGGCCAAGGCAGTAAAAGTAGTTAAGTAGCAATGCAGGAATGTAAACCTGAGACTGTTTGAATATATGTAAATATAAATCTTATAACACATTGTTTTTATCAAATTATATTAAAATTACAGAACAAACTTATACAACTTCTCAGGAACAAGTCTACTTGGAAAAATGTTCTCATTGCAGTTGCTAAAAACATCATCAGCATTGGCTGTCTTAAATGCCACCTTTTCCTGTTTCGTTTGCAGGCTCTTAGGTGGATGTGCAGTTGAGCAGTAAAGGCAGGCAGCCAGGGAAAGAAAGGGGATTCATGCAGTTTGGATAATCCACCAACTGGATAACCAGCTCTTGAAACATCAGGTTGAGGAAGCATAGAAGTCCTATGGTTTTTTATTGCTTTAGGAAAATTAACCATCATAAAAACTGTCCATACAAAGAAAACCAATAAATTAAACAGTCCATTTCAGGCTCTGGAGGCAAACATTCAGATTCCATCTTGTCCACTGTTGACTCCCTCTGAACAATAGCAGTGTGACCTCAGGCAAGTACCCTCACCTCTAGAAAAGAGCCACCATTAAAGTGGAGTCTGAGGTCACTCCACTTTCTTCTTCACTGAGAATAATTCATCTCATTTACCAGATAACTCCTATATACTGGCCACCTACTCCTGGTATTTTATTACAAGGAACTCTACCAGGGCCTGTGTTTATTGGAATAGAATTAGCGCACTTACAACTACATTCACTGTTGTTGTTTTCTTCCTGATTTAATCTATCTCTATAGTTGTATATCTATCCTCCAACTAATAAATTATTGTTGTGGCATGAGGCCAGATTCTCTGATATGATAAAATTGTCAAACTCATTTATGCGTTATAACTTTGCAAATAATTGTAATAATAGGAATGTAATTCAAAGCAAGATATAATTTCCTTGGGCTATTCTAAAGTCCCCTTAAGTAAATTTGAATGTATAACTTGCTATGTTTTAGAAAGCTAGATCAAAGCAACTTGTGATGTATATTTATTTTGTCAATACAGAAGACAAAAAAATTTATAAGTTATGGTCATTTAAAAATATTCAGTGATTGCTTTTTTTTATTGAAGTGAATAAACTGATTATATCTTTTGGTAATTTATTAACGGATCTTCATAAGGAAAAAACGTGCGAAATTACATGAGATGTTTATAATGTTTATAACGTATAAACATTGTAAGCTAATTAATGTTAATGGGTTGGTTGATTGGAAGGAGCCTAACACACATTAGAATATATTATAAAGCTGTGACAGTTAGGTGACATGGAACTAGATCAAGAAAAAATAAACATCAATAAAACAGAACAGCGTGCTCAGCCATAGAATCTCATATATGTAATAATTTAATATGTGGTAGGCCTTACAAGTCGGAAAAATAATTATTTAAAAATTGTGTTCCCCTGAGTGTTGAAGTAAGAAAAAGAAGGACAAAAAAATGTGCTGGTTCAAATAACTAACTCTTTGTGGAGCAAGTCAATTTGGATTTTCACCTTAAACAGAAGACAACATATTTTCAGTGGATTAAAAATAATACATATATCATACACACACACATAAATATAATCAAGTAATAAATATTTTACATGAAATTGTTTGGTTATCCCATCTCTCTTGGAGAAATTTTTTTCAAAGCTTAAAATTGATGAGCATGATCAAAAAGTAATAATATATTAAAATAGTGAACATTGGTATATCCAAAACAATAGATAGTATGTCAATGCAGATCAATGAGGAAAGGACAGACTGTAGGAAATCATCTATCTATCTATCTATCTATCTATCTATCTATCGTATATCTATCATATATTTGTCTAATCTATCTATAATACATGCATATACATATACTAAATGGTATATTATATACTTATACTAATGTCTGCCTCCTTAGAAAAATGTAAAATTAAGTGGTGGAGGAAACTTCACTGAGCTTATGAGGCTGGAGACACAAAAGAAGATGCATTGATTAATCTAGACACATCATTTAGTGTCACTATTTTGTTATTATCAGTTCAAAGATATTTTCTTGGTATATGGGAAGATAGGTTCCCCTAATAAAATAATAATAATAGTGCTACTTTTCCCCCATTGAAACTAGCAGGAGATTGAAAAGTTTTTTGGATAAAGCAGACATGCATTGCCTTTCTTAGCAGCATCTGCTGGCTTGAAGTAGAAACTCTTAACCCCAAGTTATGGTGAGATAACTTTCGGCAAGATCATGAAAGACTGATGCGGAAAGTATCTTCATCACTTCCTTTTAAAATAGTAGTGAACATTGCAAGTTTATTGATTCTAGTTAACTTGTTCAGTGTCTTTCTAAATGCTATCATTGGGGGAAATTACTGCAATTTTTACCCCCTCAGGACTTTTATATCTGTCTGTGAAAATCAACTTATTATGAAGCTAACATAGTTTTAAAGTTGGAGTCACCTTTAAATAAGCTCCAGTTCCTTTTCTGTCACGTTGCTAAAAAGTGGGCTGCTCTTCGTTTGTAATTGCTTAAGAGCATTTCATAACCCTGGACCTATGGCAGAGTTTGTTCCTTGTTCTTTTTTCTTTTTTAACACAAAATTGAAAGAACACTGAACACTGAAGTCCCCAATACATTATTTTGATCAGAGATTGATGCCAACTTGGATAGCCTTCTAGCCTTTTAAGCCTCAGTTTCCTCATCTGAAAATAAGACAATTGATCAAGTTTGCAGTTTGTATTTCAAAAAGATCTTCAGCTGAAACTTCACATTACTGACATTTGTGGTTCATTTTTCCATTTATTTCCAAAAGGCATTACTGAATCACTAATGTGAGAAAAATAGACATAACTATTTAATGAAACTCAGGTTATTCTGCTACATACTCATATGCACTGAAAGCTTCATAAATAGAGCTGCTAACCCAAGGACAACTCAGTCTTTCAACTCCCATGAATAACTTCTACAGATTGCACCTAATGTTGTCTCAGTAACTTTAAGCAGTTCACTGAATGCTGGAATGAAGGAAGGACAAAGCAGGAGGGGTTTTCTTTTCCTTTTTCTTCCCCTGATTAATGGGATATATTTGGTTGTATTTAATTGAGACTAGGTAAAAATATTTTTCTCTTTGTTGTGTAAACAAAATATTGTTTTTTCCCTCTCCAATTTTTAACTATTTTTTTGTTTTAAATAAAATGTCATATGCCTTTGTGGATAAATTATATTACTGTAGTTTGATTTCCATTTTATAACAGGTTTTGGTATTTGGGTTTGGAGAAGATAACATATTTTATTGAAAATATTATCTGTACATGGTCTCTGAATCAGATTAGATCAGGGGAAAAAAAGATCAACTTGCTGCCTTCCCAAAACACTCTTATTTTTCAAAATTATTTACGTATGTCTCTTTAAAATTAAATTTCCTTACTGGTAAGAATTGTTTTTAAAGATGCATTAGTTTGGGAGGCCAAAGCAGGCGGATCACTTGAGGTCAGGAGTTCGAGACTAGCCTGGCCAAAATGGTGAAACCCCGTCTCTACTAAAAATCCAAAATTAACCGGGCGTGGTAGCACATGCCTGTAGTCCCAGCTACTCCAGAGGCTGAGGCAGGAGAATTGCTTGTACCTGGGCAGCAGAGGTTGCATAGTTGCATTATTGCACTCCAGCCTGGGCGACGGAGTGAGACGGCTTCTAAGTAAATAAATAAATAAATAAATAAATAAATAAACATACATCAGACTACTTTGTACAGGGCTTGTTCATTTTCTACACTGTCTTCCCTATCCACTAGCCCTCCCGCAGCCACTCCACAGTTGTAGGTACTGTACTGGATGCCCACCTGTCTCCTGTGGACATATCACACTACACATGAAAATTTCTATGGAGTGACATTCCCAGAAAAGCTAAAATCCTATTAGTCTCTCTTGGTCAGTTAAGCTCAACAGTGTTTGACATTTTTGCTAGAATCATGTCCTATGCTAGACCTTCAGTGTAAGAAAGTGAATAGCATAAGAAACTTGATTTTGGGTGGGAGATAAAACAATAATGGGTGCAAAGATTTTAAAAAGTGACCACCTTGCCTTTATTCTGCTTTTCAGATTGTCTCCTCATGGTGGCAGGAACATGAAGGGAAATGTCTAATTTTCTCCTTTCATTTAATCATAAAATACTAATTTTTGGAGGCTACAGTTGTTTTTTGTGGAAAGCACCAACTTTATATGTGCTAAAATTTGCTTTTGGGCCAAAACATTTTTGATACAAAATGAGTAGGACCATCTTTGTGCTTAAACCAAATTTCTAATTTTTGAAATTTTCAAATTTCTAATTTTTTGAAATTATCAAATATTGTTAATGTATTTATATTTTGTTATGTCTCTGACATACATAGGTATGTATTATCTACTTATCTATATATCTGTTGAGAGATATACCATATATTCTAACATAAGTGCATATTTATATGGATATCAATGACATTAAATTTGACATATAGTGTATCTGGGTAATGTTTAAACTCTGGTTGTGTGTAGGTGTGTGTCTATGTGTATATGTGTTGATCACATATAGTTTACCTATTATATAGTTACCACTAGCAAATGTTTAAGATAAATTAAACTAGCGTATTAAATTAGTTTATTTTCAGTGTAACATGTTCTGTGGAACTAGGCATATGCACAGGGAAGTGACTAAAATTGCATTTGATTGATCCTACCATAGCACGTGTCTAAAAAGTGCGTGTCTGATTGAATTGGAAGTGTCAGAATTGAAACATAATTTCAAAATAATAAATAAGTTAATGTTGGGGATGAAAGTTGTAATATGCTGCATTTCCTTTTCTGAGCTCTTTCTTACCCAGATCATGGCAAAGCAAATGCAATTTATCTGCTACTTACTGGATGACGCTTGTACTTTTCACTTGCTGGCTAGTTCCTGGTTGTATTTTGACACAGTGCACTGATATAAGGAGATGGTGCGTAGAAAGATAACAGCTAGGTGAAAATGATAATTAAATTCTGGTACTTGAAATAAATATTTTCACTTGATATTTATTTATTTATTTATTTATTTTTTGAGACGGAGTCTCACTCTGTCACCCAGGCTGGAGTGCAGTGGTGCGATCTCGGCTCACTGCAAGGTCTGCCTCCCAGGTTCACACCCTTCTCCTGCCTCAGCCTCCCAAGTAGCTGGGACTACAGGTGCCCGCCACCACACCCGGCTAATTTTCTGTATTTTTAGTAGAGATAGGGTTTCACCGTGTTAGCCAGGATGGTCTCTATCTCGATCTCCTGACCTCGTGATCCGCCCTCCTCCATGATCCGCCCTCCTCGGCCTCCCAAAGTGCTGGGATTACAGGCCTGAGCCACTGCGCTCGGCCTTCACTTGGTCTTAATAGAGTAAAAGCATTAACTGCATTTTAAACAAATAAACAAACAAAAATCAGCATTAAAGCAACAGTCCCTTTAAATAATTTTTAAACCGCACAGATTTTTAAGATAACGTTTGTTACATTCTAAATGACATACCTGTTGAAAAACTACAATATCATCTTGGAAACAGAAATAGGCCCTCTGCTATAACTGGACTTGAAGGGACATTTTAATCAGTAGATACACAATAAATTCCTCTACTTACTTGTGACATTTGATTCACTTAGAGATATTTTAATGACAACAAATGAAGGAAAAATACTGGTATTTAGAACGCACATGTAACTCATTGAAAGGTTATCATTTTGCCTAATGACAAACAGCTGTTTGATTGTGAATCTACTTAGCAACTGCTATCAAAAACGAAGACAAATTTCCTACTGAAACAAAGATAAAGTTTGAGGTTAAGGTCATTAGGTATTCAAACAGGATTAGACATGATCATGAAGAAAGACATGCAGTCACTCTGTGCCTCCAGATATTTATTGATAAAGTAGAATAATGTTACCTATTTTCTAGGTAACTTATGGTAATAGGAAATAATTATACCTATTTTCTAGGATGCATATGGGAATTAAACACATTACTATATATAAAACTCTTATAAGAGGGCCTGCCAGAAAGTGAACTGGTAAATCTTAACTGATTGTTGTGGTGGCTTTGGTGATAGTGGTAGCCGCTGTTGTTAGATACCACAGAAACCCTTTCATGGGTGAAAATACAACTCCTAGGTTAGCTAGCCTGCTGTGTATATTTTCTAGTTAAGGAATTTTACAGAGAAAGCCTGATGTGTACATCCAACTGCAACGTAAATATCAGCATGAAAAAGGAAGCCCCAGTCTGCTGAATACCTTTGATCCTGCTGGTCTCAGCACTATTTAATTCCCTTAAATATGTGACCAATCAATTGCTATCTACCTTCTTAGCTGTTACCTTTGTTATGACAATTAAATTGTGTAGCTCCATCAATTCAATGTAAGAATAAGAAATGTTATTTATAATAATGTTAATAAAAACAATGAGTATTTACTTGATCACTTACTCCATGCTAGGACCCATTATTAGCACTTTAACTAAAATACAATTTATTATTTACAGTAACCTTAATGTGGTAGATACCATTGTCCTTTACGAATAAAACTCTTGAGACTTGGCAAGGTTGAGGAACTTGCACAAGGTCACAGGTTTGAAAATGAGTGAGCTGGAATTCTCTCTGAAATCTGACTTGAGAACCAAATTCTTAGGCCTCACTCCTTATTAGCCACAAGTATGAAAGATAAAACCAAGATAGATTAAAATATGAGTCATTCATGTTCTCTCAGGGAGGGTCATAACAAAGTCTAAATATCTAAACAACACTAACTTTGGTCGCTTATTTCACCATCCTGCATACTACCATAGTTAAGTAATGAAAAGTCTTAATCATGCATGTTAGTGAAGTTAAGACCCCCATTGTAATTTCCAAGCTGAAGCACATATTTATTTTAAAAAGTCATTATCTGAGTGGCAAATATTTTCACACTGAATTTCACATACTCCCGCTCTGTTGAAAGAGCCTTATCTATCAGCTACCAGTGCTTTAGCACCATCTGTACAAAACTTAGGTAGATATAATCCTCGAGGCATGTCTGTGTACGAGAAGATGCAGTGAACACTCTCTTTACTAATGGATTAGTGTTTCAGTGTATCTGAAAGTAGAGAACAATATCCTGGCATCAAAAATTGCAACAGGAGAAAGCCAGAAAGGGGTCAGGAACAATCGACCATCTTTTATGTCTGTCCCAAATCACACATATTAAGGGTAAAAAAAGCTCAAGAATTTATAGTTATGGCACGCCTTTCCTTTATAGATGTCAGTTTCCAAAATTAAGAAACTGAGACAGAGAGAGGTTAGGGACTTGGCTTAGTAATAGCTTTGAGATTGAACCAAGTTAATATGCAGACTACTAAGCTCCTATTCTTTAAGTTATTTATTTTCTCTGCATTGCTGTCATGTTTTCAGGATTATCATTAAGATCAAAGATAATACTCAGTGATTGTTTTCCTCAAAGGTAAACCCTAGGAATGTGAAAACACAAACATATTACGCCCTATTCTTGCATATTAACATGAGAGGGACACTAAAAATTCTAACAAATATTTGAAGAAATGGGAAAGAAGCCCATGAAGCGAGGAAGTAAAATTCAACATTTTGAATCACTCTTTAAAAAAAAAAAAAAAATCAATGTCCCCAAAGAAACCTTGGTTCTATAAACAGATCCAAATGAGTGTGCACAAATATCATCAATTGTTATGATGATAAAGCATATAGAAACTTGTTCAAAAGTGAAACATGTAAATTGCAACTTTTGACATAAGAATTAAAAATATATGAATAATTATAAGGTGTTCCCATGATTGAGTGCCACATTGTTTCAGAAAGAAGCAAAAATAGCTTACACATGAATTTTTAGAGGAGTTAGAATACTTACTAGCTACTCATTATTCTAATTGAACTAGATTCAGTTCATTTTAAGAGTAGGTCTAACTTTAGAAAAATAGGGTAATTATAAAATCTGGGTCAGATGAAATAGTAGTGTAAATCTGAGAGCCGTAAGCCTACCAATGCAAAATTGCTTTTCTGTTTTCTGGAGTAGCCTTTCAAAGAGTACAAAATGGGAAGAAAAAAATACATAGTGTGCTTCTTCTCAAGATAGTTCTTGTAGGAAAGAGTTCTTGTATCTGGAGATAGTTCTTACCTACAAGAACTATGTTGAGGAGAAGCACAGTGTATATTTTTGTGTATAAACCTCTGGAGAGTTTTAACTCAGGCATTCTTCGTTCTAAAAGGAATTTATACCCCACAAAATGTGTGTGAAGATGAAATTTCCCAATGCATGGGCCAACTTGTCAATTATGAACTGGATATGCACATAAGTTTATGCTTTTTTCTAGAGAAATAGGGCAAAATAGTAATTAGTTTATGAGATTGGTCCGCAATACCATATTCTGCTGTATTTTAATTATAGGTCTAAATATTGTTATTTACAAAAGCCTATAATCTAGAAACTAGGTTTAAAAAGGTGAAGGAAGAATTTTGTTCAACTATAAACAAATATTTATTGAGCATCTACTCTGTGCCAGCCACTGATCTTGGTGCTGCGCTGTGGTGAGCAAGGTTCTTGCCAGTGTAAAGCATATAAAGCATTGATTCTGGTGGAGATACTTTTTTTTATGAGAGATGCATGGCTAACCTTAAGAAATTTTGCCCAGGGAATTATCCCTACTTCTATTTTTTTTACATCTTCCTGAACCTTTTCATCACCAAGTCACCTGATTCAGTTATAAGATTATGTCTCATTGAAATCCTTGCCCAGACTTAGACTGCCCCTCATTCTTCAACTTTGTGGTGGCTGATGTCAGATTCAAGAGACAATATACCAGGGCTAAAACCCACTTGTTCATGTCAGAAACACTCAATTCTTTTACAGTGGTTCTATTATAAGAATGAGTGTTAGCATTGATCAAGAGAAGCATCATTTGGGTCTGAAAATACTTATTCTTGATCAATATCTATGTCAAAAGAATGTCCACATGCTGGAATATAAATCAATAGGAAAAAGGAAAAATAATATAGGTTTAAGTAGCATGAAAGTCATAGAGAGAAGCGATAAAACTTGGAAAATCATCCTTGAAAAGCATTTTCCCTGCCTCTAAAGATCTCCAAAGAAAGGCAATCCTAAATAAATTTTTCTAAGACTTAATAGATCTTTCTCTTTTCAAAAAAGTATTCTTAAGAATTAATGTAATTCCTTTTTGTTATTGCTCAAGTTCATTTTCTCTTCTTTTGTTGTCAATAGATGCTTGTTAAACCATTGTACATATTTGTTCAAAGAATAAGGGATATCATGTTCTTTATTATAATCCTTCTCCAAGATAAAGGTAAACTGAAACACCAGGCCCAGCATTGGAAAGATGTGACTTATTTAGTTGGCACAAATCATGTATAAAAACCAATTATATGTGTGGGCTTTATTTCTAAATGTTTTCCTATGGATAAATTTAGAATTAAAATCTGTGTCTATTAGATGATAAAGCATTGATTTTTATTATCATGTATTTTACGTAGTTAATATTTATTGAAATCTTACAATGTGATTGGCATTGGAATGAATGCCTTTATGTAGATTTTCCCACTTATGTGTATTTTCTTATTTAATTGTTATAACCATTATGTGAAGTATTATTTTCCTTTCAGGGAGTGAAACAGGCTTACAGAGATTTCCCAGTTCGGTAATGCTGGAGCCAGAATTTGAACTCAGGAAGTCCAATACCAGAGCATGTACTCTTAATTACTCTGAAAAATAAAGTATTCATTAACAAATCCTATCAGGAAACTCATCAGCCATCTCTTGGTTCAGTTGGCCATGGGTTTGGAATAACTGCTGCGTTGTCTTGGTTGACTTCATAGCGCTAATCAGATACAGGCTGTCTTATTTTTCCTGTTACATATATTATATAAAACACCCATGCCATTCCTGAAAAATGAAAAACAAAACATACATGTGTGTATACATATACATATATATATATGTACATTTTTACATGTGGATAAATAAATCTAGAGTCTAGCAATGTTGGGAGCTTTGAAATCTATAGAGTCCCTTCTTGAAAGAGCCTAGACAGCTATGTGGACCTAGATAACTAATTCACCCTCAAGTAAGTATGGTCTATGTATTTTAGAAATGTGATTATCCACTGTATGCATTTTGTAGAGAAAAGGTGTCCTTCTCTCTTTATCCTTATGTCAAAATACCTTTGAATTTATTAGCGTGAAGGGATAGCAAATGTATGATACCGTGAACCCTGTCAGTGAATTATCAAATGTGTTAATTGGAATCCAAAAAGCCTTAGGACCATCAGTAAGCACTCAGAAGTGCCTAGCCTCTTTCACTGAAGTGCCTTGGAAAATGAGAGTACAAGACAACCCTTGCGCAGCATTTGTGTAAATTAAAAGTGAAATGGATCACCAGTAACACAGGTTGAATAAATTGAGGGGAAGCACCATATTCTACATGTGGCAGTGCCACATTACTTAACAGTATTCAAAGGTATTGATGCAGGTCAGGGATCTTCTGTATCTTAGTTATATATTTTTTTTCTGAGAAATGTCAGGCTGTTTTGTGCTTTAACTTGTTGTGACTGTCTTGCAAAGTCAATATCCACAGCAGATATATAGATAATAGAAGAGATCCAATATTTTAGGGGACTGGTATATAATGGTATCCAATTTCAAATGCTTTAATGATGGGAAAACTGAATAACCTCAGTGCTTATATTTAATTTTAAAAATATCATAGACAACTATGAAACAAGTAGCTTTTATAAGTTCAAGTCTTAGCATGGTAATGTAGACATGAAATTAAAGATATATGCAGATTTTTAAATTATTTGAGTTAAATACAAGCAGTTTGTGTGTATATGCACATGCGCGGGTGCATCTGCACACACATTATTTGAATCAAGTTAAGTTGTTATGGTTATTGTTCTATGAATTGACACTTGAATTTTATTTGCCTGAGAAATGTTGCCTTTATACAACAAAATTAACTAAATATCGTGTGCCTTTTTATGATGTCGTTGAAAGTTACATGAGCTGTTCACAAGTTTCAGATATTAAAATATGGAGGCTAGTTTCTCACTGCTATCCTCTGCCCACAGGTTGTATATAAAAATAATGATGTGAGGCTGGAATTATCTCGACTTGCCAAGCAAGGAGATCCTAAGATGAAGATCCATGGAGTGGTGGCATTTAAATGTGAGAATGTTGCAACTTTAGACCCAATCACCTTTGAAACCCCAGAGTCTTTCATCTCTTTGCCTAAATGGAATGCAAAGAAAACTGGCTCCATATCATTTGATTTCCGTACAACAGAGCCAAATGGCCTCATCTTATTTAGCCATGGCAAGCCAAGACATCAGAAAGATGCCAAGCACCCACAGATGATAAAGGTGGACTTCTTTGCTATTGAGATGCTAGATGGCCACCTCTACCTCCTCCTGGACATGGGGTCAGGTACTATAAAAATAAAAGCCCTGTTGAAGAAAGTGAATGATGGAGAATGGTATCATGTGGACTTCCAGAGAGACGGACGGTCAGGTAATCTTATCATTTTTCTATGCTGTTTATCTGCTGGAGCACCCCACCCACCCATGCCATTCCTAAAAGTGAAAACCAAGACATATTAAAGACTTCCTGCATTTGTTTCTTTAGCCTAAAAGAAATTGCCTGATATTGCTTCTGTTTCACACCATGAAAGAAAGAGCTAATTAATTATCATAGTTGGGCATCAAACCCCAAATGCTCAAATGTCTTCTAAAATAGCTTCTTAAATGAACTTTTATTGGGTAATCAAGTGCCAAATCTTGCAGAAAATTTTGTCTTGAATTTGCAAGTGAAAAAATTCAAAGTTTTTCTATTCCCAGTTTTCTCTTATGTTATTGGATGTTTGGAGGTACCCGAAGTGGCAAATATAAAATATGAAAAAAAAATTAGAATGATCCAAACATAAAATCCTTAGTTTGGCACGTCACACTTTAGGATGAGTCTATGGCATTAAAAACACTTTAATCAATACAGTAGCATTTCAAGGACAGTGGCAAAGCTCTGCTGCCCTTCCAAACTGCTTCCCTTTCTGATGAAAGGTATTTGGAATTCCACCAGCAAACATTCTGCTTCCTGTTGCTGCATTTTATTTCTCTAAGAGAGGAGGGGTAAAGGTGGCAGGTAAAGTTTCTCCGAAGAAATCACATTTACACTGAAATTTGGGAGTGTTTTAGGGGGCTTAGGATGTTGACTAATATGAGCTTTGAGGGGAAATAATCATCCAGGAAGCAGAGATGACATTTGTAGGAATCCTGAGAAAGAGAGGGAAGGAGGGAGGAAGAGAGAGAGAGAGAAGAGAGGGAGAAAGAGGCAGACAGACAGGGAGAGATAAGGAGAGAGAAATCTGTTTTAAGTATACAACTACATTTATTTAATTCCCTTCACCCCGGGCTCCCATGCTCTGATTGTCCTACTCATACATAAATCAAATGATCTTATAATAGAAGATAACTAAATTTAGACCTATCTACTCTCCTTCTTTACTTCACCCACCCCCAACCAACTAAGCTGAGTGCTTCTTTTAGACTCAGTAATCTGTGATAACCATGGTCTTTCAGAAGGGCCCTGTTGAAGACCTGGGGCTGAACTCTCTTGCTCATACCCTCCTTGCATGGGCTCCCTCAGTACTTGTTAACTCCCAGCTGAACTATTTTCTACTTCCCTCTTATCCTTCCTTTTTTATTCTGCTGTTTATAGATCAAGAAGATTGTGTTTGCCTGTTTGGAAATATGTTTTTTACCTAACAAAATAAAGAAATAGAATATATGGAAATTGAGAAGGAGTTGGGAGTGAGTGTGGAGAGAAGGAAGGTCAGAACCCATTACTCTGATTCCCAGATATATTGGAGACTGTGTTTCTGATTCATTCCTCTCTGGAAACTTTGTCTCCCTAAATATTCTCACTTTCCTAAAGAAGTCTACAAGGAATTGAATTACCATTTTTTCTTCCTCCCCCTCCCCCTCCCCCTCCCCCTCCCTCCTCCTCCTCCTCCTCCTCCTCCTCCTCTTCTTCTTCTTCTTCTTCTTCTTCCTCTTCCTCTTCCTCTTCCTCTTCCTCTTCCTCTTCCTCCTCCTCTTCTTTCTGATTTAAGCTGAGAAGAGGCTGGGCGCGGTGGCTCACGCCCGTAATCCCAGCACTTTGGGAGGCCAAGGCAGGCAGATCACGAGGTCAGGAGATCCAGACCATCCTGGCTAACATGGTGAAACCCCGTCTCTACTAAAAATACAAAAAAATTAGTCGGGCGTGGTGGCGGTGCCTGTAGTCCCAGCCACTCGGGAGGCTGAGGCAGGAGAATGGCATGAAGCTGGGAGGCGGATTTTGCAGTGAGCCGAGATCGGGCCGCGGCACTCCAGCCTGGGAGATAGAGTGAGACTGTCTCAAAAATAAAAAAAAATAAAAAATAAAAATAAAAATAAGCTGAGAAGAGTTCATTGATGGGAATGCAAAAATATAACAATAATAATAGAGTGTTCCCCTCTGACTTCCTCCAGCCTATCTCTGCCAGAGATAGCAGTTAATTTGGTACATATGAACTTTCAAGCAGAAGAATTTTGAAGTGGCGTGGGCATGGGCTTATGTAGTGCTTTGAAATATTAGCTTGTGGATGTTATAATTTGACTTAAGATAGATCTAGAATAAAATTTTGAAAATTACTTTCAAGAAGAGATATTTTAAGTCAGATTTTATAGCACTTTAAAACAAAACATGCCAAAAATAGTGGTTCACACCTGTAATCCCCACACTTAGGATCACTTGAGCCCAAGAGTTCCAGGCTGCAGTGAGCCGTGATCATACCATTGCACTCCAGCCTGGGCAACAGAGCAAGACCTTGTCTCAAAACAACAAAACAACACAAAACAACCCATATCAGATTAGACGGTTATCTTCTGAAAGTTCAGAGGAGAAAAAAAACACCAAACATCAAATCAATTGCTTTTCATTCACTTAGAAATGAGGAATTTTCTAACTATATGAATGTAATACACGATTAATTCAAAATACTAGTAAATACAAAATAATATAAAAGAAAAAGGAAAGTATTCATTATTCATTTGAAAATAATGATTTATATTTTTGGGTATTTCTTTCCAGTCTTTCTTCTATGTAAATTGTGTGTGTGTCTATATATGTGTGCATGTCTCTCTCTACATGTATATGTGTATATGTATGTATATATATGCATATGTACATACATGCCACACATGCACATATACACATACTCACAGAGAACAAAATTATTTTGAATATTTTATGAGGTTTCTTATTATAAGGAGAAAGTATTGATGCAATCTAATTAATTATCAGATAAATACTTTAATCTTCAAGCAGAATAAAATCTACTTTTTCTGTTTAAGCTCTTTAATTCATCCAAATTACCAAGAGTTTATTAATTACTCTATTTGTACCCTCATTGGAGAAGGTCAAAATTAGATGATATCTACTTTAATTTACAAAGCTCAATTCTGTATGGGAAGAACAGAAACACGTTCTAAGGAAGTGTTGTTTGCATCTAAGAAAGAAAATAAACGAAGCATGAGATTTTTCTTTGAATCCAGTGGAAAGATCAGATTACTATGCTTGGTGCTGTTGTGATGGTAAAGTACTTTTATGTGATTAAAATTTCAGATTAGTGAATTGGTACAAACAATATAAAAACCAAAGTTCATTCACTAAGCCAAGTTCTGTCCTTTATTAAATTGAAAAAAAATAGAGCTCATATTAGGTTAGCCTAGCTCAAGGGTGTTTAATGTAATTTTAATAGCAGCTGTTAATATTTTATATATAGTATTTTAATTAAGTTCCATATTTGCACACTGCATTGGTTTGGTATGGAGTAGCCTTTTAAAAATTGAATGAATGGCTATACTTGCTTTTATTTTACTTAAAGGATATTTCTGATTTGGCTGGTGAAACAGTAAGATTCAGAGGTCACTTACAACTAAGAAACATGGAAATTTCATGAAATAATTTATTTTACCCATTTTTTATATCAGTTATATTCAGGGGCTATATGAATATTATTTTTCATATAATGTGGAGAAAGTGTACTGCTATGACAAGAGGGTAACATGGGCTCCTTTCTGACATACAGATAATGAGGCCATATCTGTTGATTTGCCTGGAATATTCCTTAGCTCAGTATTTTAAAAGCCTTATTATCTCTGTTATTAAAGTAGAGGGAACCCACGCCTAAGAGCAATTCTTTCTGCTGTTGGCCATACTAAAGTAAATAGAAATATAATGAGACCATTATGGTCATTAATTTGCTGCCAATCTAAGTAGTGGTTATTTTTGGATAGAGAGAGGGTTAAAATCATATTTGGTGGACACAAATGATTTAATTTTAATATTACCCACTTTATAAGGTTCATAATTTCCATCCCAGATAGAGAAAATTGTATTTATTTTTTTATCCACAGTTTCTAGTACATTCCTGGGTATAGCAGTTGTTCAGTATATATTTGGTATAAGAAAAACTAAAGATTAAAAACATGTAAGTAGTACAGTGCCAAACAACCCCTGATACTCTAAAAAAAAATAAAATAAAATAAATTAGCAGCATCATTTTTTACATTTGGAGAATAATGGCACTCTTTTAATTGTAAATGCAACTTTTTTAACTGTAAGCATTTATTTAAATTACATTACTTTCTGAAAGCAGTTTATATGATATAGGATAAAAACTGGTGTTCTCTTGTGAATGCAACACCATCCTCCAAGCCCAGATGTTTGAAATAAGCCACTGAGAAAGTTAAATAATTGTTAGCGAATGTGTAAACCTGGTACAAAAATGACAAGTTTTTATGAGAACAGGACTTCTGTCCCTTCTTGGTCTTGAGGTCCCTATATCATTTTGCAGACATTTAGGGAGCAGGAAAATCCATCAAGAAGGAAGGTGGTAACTCCTTTCTGAGGACTGGGATATGCAACCACAGTAAGTGTGCTCTTGACAAGAACCTAGGATGTCCATCTTTTTGGTGGCCTTCCCTTTGGTTCTTTGGTCTTTAGTTCACTGAAAGGGGTATATGAACCCCTTATTCAATGAGAAATAACACCTTTATGTGTAATTTTCTAAAACTTTCTCATTTTGGCAAAACTGATTGTAACTGGTTATTTCTAACATATGTTCCTTCTTCCAATCTGAGACATGGGGAAAATTCACTCTAATTTCCACAGTTTGACTAATTCTGCTTGGCTATAGCTGTTCTTTATGTGCAGTGCAGCTTTCTTCCACTGCCTGCTCACTAAAGGGTCAGGGACATGGAAAGCCAAGTGGGCTGAGCCGTAAATGGCACTTCCAGATCCTGCAGTAAGCTAGCAAAGGAGAAACCATACCAAGTGCAGGCATGATTTAGTGAATCAGAGTGGATGACTTCAGTGCTGCAAAATGTAAATAACCTCTGTGGATAACTTAGCTACTAACAGGGCAAAACCCCTAAGTCAGTGGACTTAATAAATATGATTGAAGAGGCCCATTACTTTGCAATTTTTGCAGGACTTACAGCTGAGCGTTTTTGTTGTTGTTGTTGTTTTTAAACCAGTCTCTCTCTTTCCAGACTTCCCCTTTGCCTCTTCTCTGGTCCCACCCTCAACACAAAACAGCTGCCCAGGTATTTAGCTAAACTGTGAATGGAGCTACAATTAGGATGAGGTTAATGATTGTTTTCTTGGGGCACAAATATTGTTTAAATTTGTGTTAAACTCTGGCTCAGTCAAAGTACCCTCTCAAGTATTTTTATAGCAAACTGCCAGTCTTATTTTATTTATTTATTTATTTATTTTGTAAACCATCATTACACATTGAAATCAAAGAGAAAACTCATTATTCTTGTCAAAGTTGGCTTGTATACAGCAGGGTACAGCTGATTGTGTCAGCGGTTATTCATGGGTAAGCCTACATTTAACAGCTAAGAAGCCATTGAGATTTGAATTGAAGTCGTAGAGTTCCAGTTTAAGAACTAGATATTACAGTGGGAAAGGTACAAGGCTCTCTCAAGAGCACATAATTAGAGGTTTATAGTAATCACTGTTTGATGTGAACAGCACTTTCTAGCTATCTATTACCAGCACTGATTTCTGTGTACACCATTCATGAATCACCACACTTAAACATTTCTACTTGAGCAACCATTAGACAATTTCTCTGCTTAGGTCTTGTTTGAACTTGCCCTCTGACTGTAAATGTTCCTCCCATGCCTCTGCCTAGTAGCCTGTTATATACATTGAAGTAATTTTAAGTGCATTTATATTTTGTTTCATATCCACACCCATAAACCACTATTCATCAGAGGAAACACCGAAATACCTTACCAATAATTTACTAGTTCTTTGATCATATGACCAGATGGGGTCAATTTTGCTTAAAATTGTAATGTTAAGTTTTATTAAAATGTTTATATTTATTTATTCTGAAGAAGTTTATAGAAAAAAATCATTTATTGTTTCTCCACACTCAAAGTATTTTTTATATTTGTACATTTTCCTTCAGTTTTTGTTAACATTATATATATTTTATATAGTTGCAGTTAGAGTATAAACATAATTTTTCAGGCTATCTGTTTAATATGGTGTTATGTACTCTTTTGCTCAAGATCATCTAAGTAGCAAAATTTATTTTCTGGGAATTATGGAATCATAAGCAAAGATTCAGAGCAGAGCTTTTCAGAAGTACCTGAGCTAGGCCCCTGGGCTTGTAGAACTTAAATGTATTAACATATCTAAAGAAAAGAAACTCACAGGGGCAAATATTAGCAGTAATCTTCTGAACACTGCTTAGCGAACTTGACAACTTCATCCCCACTGTAAAGATGGAGGCAGGTCATTTAACTGAGATAAGGGTGTCAAGCCTTCCCAGGCCAATATTACTATACATTTCCTTATCTCATGCATTCTTCTTGTTCAGAATCCATGTTCCCCATGCACTCTTTTGATTAAGATTTAGTTCCCATTGTAAGTCTGATTAGAGTGGAGGGAGAAAATAGACCAGTTATGTATACAGTCGGCCCGGCCCCCCATTTTTTGTGGGTTTTGCATCTGTGGATTCAATCAACTATGGATTGAAAATAATTGGAAAAAAATTGAGTCTGCTCTGAATATATACAGACATTTTTTCTTGTCATTGTTTCTTAAACAATGCAGTATAATAACTATGTAGCATTTACATTGTATTAGATATAAGTAGTTTAGAGATGATTTAAAGTACATGGGAGGATGTGCATAGGTTATATGCAAATACTAAGCCATTTTGTATCAGGAACTCAAGTATCCACAGATTTTGGTGTCTCCAGGAGATCCTGGAACCAATTTCCACAGATACTGAGGAATGCATATGAGTATTCACATTCCTGTAACAAGTAAATTTCTCATCATAAATGAATAAGTAATATTTGATTATAATTGACATCCATATTGGCAGAGCTACATGGGAAGTATTTCATGTCCTGTAATAGGTAATTCCTCAGAGGAAATCAATAACTTGGCATTCTTGTTTTATACATTGCTGTTATGGAGTTAGTAAATATCAGTCAAACCTGGGAAATGAAACCGCCCTCTGAAAATCTACCAAATCTCTTCATTGGGCTTGCCTAGCTAAGGGGCAGACTCTGGACTATGGCATCAGTAGCACCCTAAGAAGATAGGCAGTTTACTGACCACACGCGGACCTAGTGACCCTTACTGTGGAATGCTGAGTGGAAATCTGTGGAACTTCTGCAAAATAATATTTCAATTGCTGCAGAATGTTATTTGATTGATATTTACAACCTTCCATTGTGTATGATCATGTTTAAAATGTATATGTGTCTATACATTGCTGTGAATGTGTATGTGTGTTTATATATGTGCATTTTTGTAATGCATGATGTATTTAATATATAAATACATACTTTTGGTGAACACGTTCAGGCAATTCAAAAACTAGCTAAGTGAAGCGTTTCCCCTTACCATACATTCCCTCATCAATTTACTCTGTTCTCCATAGATAACCACTAAAATAATTTGGCGTTGAAAAATTCCCAGTTCTTCTTCTAGGCATCAATATATCTATAAATATGTTCACACACATAAAATACTTATACAGCCTTTTTTCTATAGTCAAGATTATAGTTTACCAATTACTGTGTAACAAAAAAACTTAAAGATAGCTTTTTCTGTGCCATTCTTTGTAGTGACACCATACATACCTTAGTTTGAACATACTGATATTTAGGCATTTCTCTATGGAAGAACATTTGAATTTTTACTTTTTTAAACCTTCACTGTTTTAAACTAGTTTATAGATAATTCCTTCATACATGAAATCTTTGTGTATATTGGTCAGAATATCTCTAGGATTGAATGTGAGAATTGGGATTGCTGGATTAATTGTAATTTTAATTTTGAAAGACAATGACAGGTTAGTTTACTAACTGCTGTTTCAATTTACATTCTTATCTACAGTTATTGAAGTGCCCTTTCCCCCTTATTCTTGCCAATACCAGACATTATTAAACTTTTAAATTTTTGTCATTAGAGTTCTGTTTTCATATATTGATTTAATTCCTGAAGTTCCCAGCTCACAGATGAATCAAGTAAGCAGAAAACAGATGGTAATAAGCAGAGAGTGGAATATTAAGATGGTATTTTTGTTTTGTTTTCAAATACAGTTAATTTTATTTCTTTAAAAACCTCATAGATAACATTGGTTTTAAAAAAGATACAGAAATTTTTTAAATAACACTCATAATTACACTGTCACCAAATACCCACTCTTAATATGTTGGTTCTTTTTTAAAATTATTTTATGATAATTATATATTTTACATTTTACATTATACCCTATTGTCAATGTTGTATTCTGTTTTTATTACTTATGTTGTGCATATTTCATCAAGTTTGAATTTGTTATTAGACTAGGAATTTGACAAGTAAATTTGTAACTTTGTGAAATCTGATTCATTTGTGTAGGGACAGGTGGAGCAGAATTAAGTATAGATAAAATTGACATTAATTTAAACAATTCATTTAAGCAGTAATTTAAAGATTGTTTATTCAAAAATGAATCTTAATAATCCATCTACTGAATTTCTTTATTTTTCATAAGAGCCACATTGAAGCCTAACAGATCTATCCTTTGGCTAAACTTGCTAGCTAGTTAGTTGAAGAGCTGGAACATCGGATTTTCTCACCAGGAAAAAGGGTTCCCTATTACAGCACACTATTTTCTACTCCTCATTTCCTAGTAATTTAAACTTGTGAAGTAATTTAACTCTTGACATCAACTTAACTTATTTTAAATCTCACCTTCACTCTGTGTTTCTTCTCACCCTGTAAACTAATCTTATGGAAGTAGAACAGACAATAAAAATAGGATAGAAAAGTTAATGGAAACTAATAGGTAATGAAAAACTACCTCACTACGTTGTAAATTTCATTTCCACTTTTATAACTAAGAGCTGTTTTAAAAAGTTTTTTGAACCTTTGCATACAGTTTTACAAGAAACATAAATTTATTACTTGTTTATGAATATTCTTAAATATTACCTTGTCTGCTTATCACCTTCATTTTACCTCTTACATGTGTCGTGAAAAAACAGCTTTACATGTAAGAATATAATGTAATGTCGTTTCTACATTAAAATTATAAAAGTTGTATGTCCACAAATAATTTATTTTTAGTTGCGATCTCATTCCTTTAAAAAATAAAATAGCATAGCAGGGTGCTTCAGATTCTTAAATAGTGAAGCATGAAACCCTGATCTAGATAATTTCTCAAATATGAACTTTTCCCCAATTTTAGGAGCCTTAATGTAACAATGTTTACATAAAATATTTTGTTAATTTACCAGAAACTGCAAATATAAATTCAGTAGAAGGGGTAGAATGTATGAAGGAATCAAACTATTTAAAAAAGAACATGTCAGTATTTGTGGTTCCTGGAAAAAGATAGAGGGATGACCCATTAATATATTTAGATTTTTGTTTTCTCTTAAAAATGTATTTATAACATTTATGTACCTCAGCCTTTGAAAATTCTCCTTTTCCATTGATATATAGAGTTTGGCAACTACTCAATTGTCTTCAATTATCAATGAACCAGGTTTAAATATTAATTTGATGTGTTCTTTGTAACCACTGATTTTATAACTCAATTTTAATAAAATAAGCACACGGGAACCTTAATATTTAAATTTCACTATGCTCATATCTATGAGTTAAATTGGTTTAAACTAATTCGGATTCTGTGATGACTCTTTTGCTAGGTGAATATGTTCTTTGATTCATATCCATAGTAAAAGTCATTAAGGAGGTCTGGGATTCAAATCCCTTATTGGAAATGTGTCTATTTCAGGACACATGTTTAGGCTAAAATATAAACTTCTATTTGCATTTGTCTCAGTAATAAAATTTAATTATTAATTCTAACCATTTTTACTCCATGAATTTTCAAAATATAAAAATAATTGTTTCCATCCCACTTGAACTAAATTCTTTACTTTCTGATTATTTGCCATCTCTTTTACAAAGATTTTCTAAAATACAAGTTCATACGAATTAGCAAAGCATATAGATAAAGTAGTACTTGATTTTCAGCCCTATTTTCTTCATCCTATGATGTCTGTTTGCATAATATTCCAATGACTGATATCTGATCCATCCATTTGCCTGATGTGTCTCCTTAACTTTGAATCCAGAGCTCAATTTAAGTTCTAGTCTTTCTTGGATTAAATTTGAATTAAAGGTAGGATTATATCCCTTTTTCTTTCTGTCTCATGTTTTGTTGCTTGTTCTCTATCTCTCTCTCTCTCTCTTTCTTTCTTTCTGATGGAGTTTTGCTCTGGTTGCCCAGGCTGGAGTGCAATGGCGTGATCTCGGCTCACCGCAACCTCTGCCTCCCAGGTTCAAGCGATTCTCCTGCCTCAGCCTCCCGAGTAGCTGAGATTACAGGCATGCACCACCGTGCCCGGCTAATTTTGTATTTTTAGTAGAGATGGGGTTTCTCCATGTTGGTCAGGCTGGTCTCGAACTCCTGACCTCAGGTGATCCACCCGCCTTGGTCTCCCAAAGTGCTGGGATTACAGGCATGAGCCACCACGCCTGGCCTGCTTGTTCTTTCTATGAGAACTCTACAATTGTCTCTCAAAGGGACAATAGGGAACTATGGGAGAAACTTACTCTTTATGATAGTAACCCTTAAATCTGTTTTTGTTTTTTATTTATTTTTTTGTACCATGGGTTACAACATTTTAGCTGGTGCTAAAATCCATTGATGGTCCAGCATTTGTTTTAATAAAATGATATGATGAGAGAGAAAATATCAAAGTGCTTCAGAGGCTGTAGAGTTGAATATTTTTTTTTTCTTTTAAACATTTGTTTCAGAGTGTGTGTGTGGGTGTGGGTGGGTGGGTGGATGTGTGTTTAAGTGTGCACTGGGATATTTGAAAATTGTGGTCTCTATGACCGTGTTCAGAAAACTCAAGTCTAATGATAAATTTGTAGTAAGAATCTTACCCTGTCCATATCATCAAGCACATTCTTAAAATAACTTATTTGAACTCTCTTACAATACTTTGCTCAAAGCAAGCACTAACACACCATAAATAAAAATCAAGAGACACAGTTACTCCATCCTTACTGTCAGACAAACTGTAATGAATGATTGTCTAAACCACCTGGCAGCCGTTTTGCCCCTTAGAGTGAGTGCAGACACAGTGCACCAAGGTATGGAAACTACATGGAATAGAGGGAGAAAGTGGGTTGTGGAAGCCAATGAATTTCCTCGACTCAGGAGTCCTCCAGGAGTCCTCTTAGTGTCAGAATTACGATACCCTGAGCAAGGACAGTACAGCCTTTCCCAGGGCTTTTTTCCCCATCTGAGCTGAATAAAAAGAGCATATGGGAATACATACATACATATATGTTTATATATATGTATATTTGAATATATCACCACACTTGGAATAATTTGTCATTGTTCCTTTGCTAAGTTCCGTGTCTCCTAACATTTCTTCTCAATTTCTCAATAGTGGATATTCATTTCGTCAAATCCTCAAAAATTCTACGGCTTTTAGGAGGCCTTATTGAACTAATTGGAAAATAGAGTAGAATCCTTCTCTCTTTTATTTAAGAACATGTCACTTTGGCTGGGTGTGGTGGCTCACGCCTGTAATCCCAGCACTTTGGGAGGCCAAGGTGGGTGGATCACTTGAGGCCATGAATTCAAGACCAACCTGGCCAACATTGCAAAACTCCATCTCTACTGAAAATACAAAAATTAGTTGGCTGTGATGGCGTACACCTGTAATCCCAGCTACTTGGGAGGCTGCGGCATGAGAGTTGCTTAAAGCAGGTGGCAGAGGTTGTAGTGAGCCAAGATCCTGCCACTGCACTCCAGCTTGTGTGACAGAGTAAGACTCTGTCTCAGAAAGAAAAAAAAAAAGAACATGGCACTTTGTTCATTGCATGTAACTCTTTGCTTTCCATGATAATATGTGCTTTTTAAAGTGTCCACCTTTCCTTTTGTCATTAAAAGACACTCTTTCTCATCATATTCTAACTTTCATTAGCTACTGCAGAGGATAGGGACCATCTGTTTATTCGCTTCTTAGGTATTTTGAATAGGGCTATATAAAAAATGATGCTTTAAAATGCGTGTAATGATCGTTCCATTTGAAATAGAAAAGAGCCACCATTCTCTTTCAATATTATAAATTTTATTTCCCCAAAATGCCATGCTTTATATTTTTCTAAATAGGATTTTATGGTTCCCATATGTTCCTAAATGAGAGTTTTCTTCTAGACACTTGTACAAATGTGAACAGTAAAAATGAATACTTTGTCCTTTTCTCTTTTAGCTGCTTCCCTAGGAAATCTCTATTTTGCTCCCCTCATTGGAAGGCCAAAATAGCAATGCCTTTGAGTGTTTCTCCCCTAGGAGCTTTTCCCTTTTCTTTCTCTGAAAGTCTAGAGAGCCAAATATCCTCTTAATGACTCGGCCACCTGAGCAGTCTTTGTCAGTGGCTTCCATGCCCTTCTCCCTGACAAAGACAGATCCCATTAGACTGCCTAGATTGAAGGGGGCCCTTCTGCTGGGATTTGGAATACTCCTGGGCACATCAGGGCCCACAGCCTTACATCCTTAGTTAGATATGTGTTTTCACTTGGGGCGGGCTTTTGGTATTCTGTGTAGCAACTAAAATGTGTCTCCCTACACACACCTGACCTACCCTCCACTTCTTCTTTTTGTCCTTACTTCTGTATCACACCTCCCATCTCCAGGTCTCTCTTGTGTCTCTTCCCTAAATACCTGAGGTTCTATACCCATGCCCCAGCATGCTATCAGACCTTTTCTCATCCTCTCTCTCTCATCAGACTCTTCCTATCCTTTCTTATAATCTGGAGCTGAGAAATAAATCTGGGATAATGTGGTTGTGGGTCCTTGTGGTGTTCTGTTCAGGTATCATGGTTGCATTTGTACAAAGGTCTTTCTGAAGATAAAGTATCAGTGGAATTTTGGTAATCTGACAGTGTGTATGCACGTTTTGATCAGGAATATGCTTTATATCTTTCTTTTTTTTTCATAGATTCCACTAATATTTTTCTGTGACCCTCAAATGATCCCATGTAGATGAATACCTGGTTATTCCATACTTAGGACTTAGAGCCCTTGTATTTATAAACCAATAGATTTTTCTCCTTAACATTTGGAGTGAGAAAAAGAAAGCCTTGTTAATTTAAATAAATAACTAGCTTGGTTTACAAATAAGGAAGCAATTGGTTTTACTTGATTCTTTCACTGAAATATAATCACAAACATTTATACAGTGATTATTATAAACCATGTACATTACTAGTATTATTTTGTTTAACACTAAGAGCAACTCTATAAGGTAGGTAATATTATTATGCGCATATTATGAGTAAGGGAAACAAAACTATGTAAGTTAATCAATAGGTTTATACAGCTAGGAGTGATGAAGTCAGGTTTTGACATAGGTAATCTGTGAAACTATTGTGCTCAATCAAAGTAATCAAGTCAGTTAAAATAGGAACATGAAATCTTTCTTTGGATTGCAATTGAATATTGGCTTTGAAAACAAGCACTAACCCAGGGGAATCTGACTTTCTTCTAGAGACTGATACAGAATTACAGTTTCTTTATTTTTAATGTATGTATACATGCATTGACTGAACTGTTTGAGGCTCTCAAACACTATTTGTTGGCTGTACACTTAGGTTTCCATTCTCGAGTTCAAATGGAACCATTTAGTCTGTTTTATTTCTAAAGTTTCTTAATACCACAGATATCTTAATTTCTCTAGGAAATACCAAAAAGTGAGGACAGAAAGAATAATAATAATTGTCTGCCTCCAAGGAGTTAACCATCAAGCAGACGAAAGAGAGAAAGATAATTATAACACGTTGGTGCTTTTTAAAGACCTGTGCATTCTCCTCTCTTTGAAATAGGTACCATTTCTGTCAACACGTTGCGTACTCCCTACACTGCTCCTGGTGAGAGTGAGATTCTGGACCTGGATGATGAGTTGTACCTGGGGGGGCTGCCAGAAAATAAAGCTGGCCTTGTCTTCCCCACCGAGGTGTGGACTGCTCTGCTCAACTATGGCTACGTGGGCTGCATCAGGGATTTGTTCATCGATGGCCAAAGCAAAGATATCCGGCAAATGGCTGAAGTTCAAAGTACTGCTGGAGTGAAGCCTTCCTGCTCAAAGGAAACAGCAAAACCGTGCCTTAGCAACCCTTGCAAAAACAATGGCATGTGCAGGGATGGGTGGAACAGATATGTCTGTGATTGTTCCGGAACAGGCTATCTTGGCAGGTCCTGTGAGAGAGGTAGGATTCTAAAACCCCAGCAGCCAACTCCCTGAGATGAAAAGTTTATTAAATGTTGACCTCAAACCTGCACTGACCATTGAAACGTAATGTATACTCTACTGAAGTAAACTCTGTTTGCAAGCTGAGCAGCCATACCTGACATGGATTACTAATGAGCTCTTAATGTTTTTCAAAGAGCTTGATTCTGAAAGGACACAGTTCTTAAGTATATTGCAGGAATAGAAACTTGAATCTTTAGTATCCTCTAGAGTATGAGCCTAAGATGTATTATAGACAGTAACTGCTGTCTTTTTTGCCCAGTTTTTAACTTCAGAACATTAGACAGTAAAAGAGGCATGAATTATACATACCTATGGCTTCTAGTGCTAATACCCATGCTAAGAAATAGCATTTGAGGCAAGCTAAGCTATGAGTTGCAACTTCCCTGACACAACTGGGTGAGACTTAAGTTAGCCTGCTCATTTCACTTCAGTCAACTTACAAAAGAGGCAATATCCTCTCTGAAAAGTAAGCTGACTTTCAATCATCTAAGGTGCACCAACATTTCTGGAAGTGTACCCTAATAGAAAAAGTACTTACCTTTGGCTAGGACCTAACCAACTGCAGAGGATTCATTTACCAATTTGCTGTTAAGACTTAGCTGTGCCTATTGAAGTTCTGAGCAGGTGCTGCCTCTCTTTTTCTAACAGGAGGCAAACCCACATTTTATTTTTCTTTTTTTTCACCCTATACAATAAAAGGAATGAGGATTCAAAGAAAACTGAAGGGCAATAGCCATCCCAGTTGATCTGCAGAACAGGCTAAAGGAATAAATAGCAGAACAAATAGTTCTAAGTTTATTCTTCCATCGACCCAGTGTTTCAGATAAATGCTTTAGTCACTACACCTATTGCCACTTATTTTCAACAATGGAACTAAAAATCAATATGAAAAAATATTGATGAGTTGTTCCATTGTCCTCACCTGCTACAAATAACATTGCTTTATTACATATTTAGCCTAAAATTACCTGGCATCTATTTTTAAGCTATGAATATTTATTGTTTCCCTTTTTTATTCCTGAAATAGTTCAGTTCAGTTTGCCGAAAACCTCCTAGGAAAAAGAGGGGTTGTTTTGTGAAACCCAAAATTGAAACCTGATTTTGGTTATTTATCTTAAAAAGGAGGTACATCAACTTATTAGTTCTGAGATTAATATTAACAATATAAATATTTAATAGTAACATAGAAATCATATATTAAACCACTTACCATATGCTGTTATTATTGTAGGTCATGCAATTAGATGGGTCAGTAGACGGGTATGTTATCACATAGATACAGATATATTCATTCTCTTTATGATAGTACCTAACCGGCATTTCTGTGAATTGTCAATACAACTTAGCTATTTCTATATAGTTTAGTTAGTATGGTGTATATTCTTTATAAGTTTCCTCTTTGCATTTTGCTTCCTAATTTTAGTTTGTTTGTTTAGTTTTGTTTTTGGAAATTGCCAAAAGGATGAACAATGTAACAAAGCTTGCAAGGTATAATACAGTTACGCATAATATGAGATTAGCGGACTTGCACGATTTAAGGTTTTGTTTTAATTTTAATCACCCAGAGAGCTGCCAGTTGTTCTGATGCCTCTTGGTTAAGTGAAGCTGAAAAAAGGGTATAACTCAACTGTCACATGAATTACGGAAGCTTTCTGTTAACTATGCGTGGTGTACCACCCTGTGGCAATATTCCGCTACTACCTATGGCAAAAATGAAAATAGAAATTGTAGATCTTTCAGAGCCAGGATGAGAGAAGAAATATTTATATATTGCAATGATTAGAAAAAGGGGCAGCAAGCATATGTAGATTTGTAAATGAGAATTTAATAGCAAACTTCATCATTGGGATTCAGCATACGTCTTTATCTGATAGGAGGCTGCAGGTTTCTGCAGATTTCTTTGTCTCCAGGTTGGCTGTATGCATTTTTGGGTGGTTCTTGTTACTGGACTACCCATGTGTATTGCGTGAGTCCTTTGCTTTTCAGAAGTAATTTTCTTGCTCACGTTAGGGTGCCTCCTGAAAGCAAAGGAAATGTGTGATGGTTGTCATGCTCAATACCACAAAATTTGGCTTCTGCCCAGTTCGTGGCTATTATGCCCTAGTTCAGTTAACACAAGATTGTGCCTGAACCTCCGAATTTCCAATTTAAAACAGGGGGCTTTGACAGAGTTTCTTCTCCAGACACACATTGGTCACTTAAGGCTGTTGTTGATCAAATAAGAGTTGACAACTCTTGAAGTTTCTTTTTTTAAGAGAACTTTTAAAGTTGTTTTCTTATTAACTTTGAGCAAAAATTGATAATTTATAATTTATGAAAATAATTATTCAAAGTAATTAAAAAACATGTTCAGCTCCTTGGATTTAGAAAGTTCAACATGGAAAAATTATGTTGCAATTGCATTATAGGAGATGTTTATCATGCCTAAGGAAGCAAAGGAGTTTATAAGAAAGAATAAGATACTTGCTAACTTAGGCAGACAAGAAGAGAGTATTTTGTTTTACATGTATTGATCCTATAAGAAGGAGTAGTACAGAAATAATGTTCAATGAATAAAAGTTAAATTTAGCGCCTTCCCTTCTGCTTTATTTTTAATAAAACTGAGAATTTGTGGAGACTTGATCATATAAAAATTATTCTGTTATATGTAAGAATAAGAGCATTGATATAATCAGAGATCTGCTTTATACTGTTTGTTAAATTCTAACAGATGGAGGGACAGATGTCAGAGCAATATAATTTGGCTCCCTGTCTGATTTTCATCGTTGATCACAATATGTGACTGCCTTTCGGCAAAACTGAGCACAGGTGTACACTTTAGACTGCAACAAAGAATAATGTAGAAAAGGAAATTTATCAAACTTAATGACAAGGGAGAAGGAGATATAGAAGACAAAGTTGAAACTGGTTTTCTCCCCCAGTGGGAAGTATTGTATTGGAATTAGCCTTTTAAAGAATTATTGTATATTCTAAATGATGAAATAATTTTACTAGTGTTCAAGGATGCTGCCAAATAGCATAACCTTCAAATGTCAGAATGTTGTTTACCATTTATTTGGCAACTCTAGACTACAACCCTGTGCATTTTCCATTTCTTGTCTAATTAAACATTAACTCTAATTGTGAGGAATCGTTTAGGCTTTCATTTGTCATTTATCAACAAGTTATTTTCACATTGAGAATTATTTAACATGACACTCGGGGGCACTCTAGTTTTATTACTTTACTATGTTATTTCAGTCCTGCAGCTTTCTGGAGAATGTTAAAGGCTAATGATTCTGATTATTTTTTTCTCTGGGTTGTATTTCACACTATATTTATGATCCATTGTCAGTCATCTGTATTTCTTAAAGGAGGTGCCCCCTATTTAGTTTTCAATCAAATCAAGCTACTTTTCCCAGAAGAATATGATTATTTCAAAAATGTGATTATTGAATAATAGAGCCTAGTTATAGAGATTAAATAAAGAAGAGAAAACAAACACTGTTTTGATCCTTTTATCTATATGAAACCAAAGTAACTGAACACATGATAATGACTTTTACACTTTTATTCGGGTGCTTGTTGCTTTACAGATATGGGTCATGATTGTCTAGTTTAGGAAAAACAAAAGTAAAGATCAAATTTCTTTTAAAATTATACCACAAGCATTTTTCTCTCTAGAATTCACTATAACTTTACACTCAGGTTTTCATTATTTTTTGAGCAACAGCAATTTGATTATTTGCACTGGTCTTTGACCACTGGGATTTTACTCCCATTTGGGAAACTTTTTGTCTAATTGGAAAAAAATATGATATTATATAGAACCACTATATTTTTGAAAGACCATATTTTGTTTTATCAGTGCTTAGGGCATTGCCTAACCATGAGGCCCCTGTTTTGATAAATAGACACTTCCCTAGCCTATCTTCTGCAGCCCAATTTTGGCCTTCAAAGTGGACCTTATTACATATTTCGTTCATGCACAGTACTGAAATTAGATTTCACTTGCAATAAGCAGAATAAATACTTAATTTCTTTGGTAAGCTTTTATGTAAGCTTGGTATTCAAATTGAAATTAGCTCACTGTGTGTGTATGTGTGTGTGTGTGTGTGTGTGTGTGTGTGCAATTATTGATTCAATTAATATTTATGGAGGCTCTGCTGTGGGCCTGGCATTGTGGGGGCACTTGCTGCTGATAGAGCAATGCATATGAGAGACTGATCTCTGCCCTCAAGGTACTTGTATTCTAAAGGGCATATACAGATAATACTCTACAAACAAGAAATGGTCATTTCAACAAAGTGAAATGATGAATATATATTGAATAACTGGAGTGGGTAGCAGGTCTCTCTGGAGTAACATTTGAGCAGAGACCTAAATGCTGAAAGAACCAGCTATTTAAAGATCTGGGGTGAAACATTTTTAAACAGAGGGATCTAAAAGTGCAAACACTTCAGTGAGATCATGAAATTGGTGTATCTGGAGCTCACTGAACAAGAAGCGGGACATACTTAAAGCTGAGGCCAGAGAGATGGACTGGGGCCAGGGTCACACTGATCTTTGTAGGTTTAAAAAAGTAGGAACACGGTTGAGGGAGCTACTACAGTGGTGTAGGTGAGAGATGAGAGCAAAGTCTGAGGGACATTAGTGGCAGAGGTGAACAGCAATCAATTCAGAATGTGGATTGGAATTAGAGCCTTTAGGACTTGCAGACTTGCAAATGGATTGGACATGGCAGAGAGAGTAAGAGAAATCAGAAAGCTTTAGGTCTGAGCAATGAGATTATCATGTTTACTGAGATGGAGAAGACTGAAGAAGGAGCATGTTTTGAGTTTGTTCATTTTTGAAGGGAGTAAATCAAGAGTTTAATAATATTCCAATTGAAATATTCCAATTGAAATTTCATATTCCAATTGAAAATTTCCAATAGGCAATGAATGCTACAGCTCAGGAGAGAAGTCAGAACGCTTAATAAATATTAGAGGAGTGAGCATATGAGTTGACTGAGATCTCTTAAGTCAAGAGGTAGATGGAAAAGAGAAGGGAGCTAACCTAAGCAGGGAGACCTGGAACACTCAGTGCTTAGAGAGGTTCTGGTTCTCACTTAATCCCATCATGACAACAAATAGTGATTAAAGTCTTATAGAAACAGTACTTGACTTTCTGAAAAATAAACTTACAAAACCACAACTCTAAATATAGTCCTAATATTGAACACAGTTGTATCAGTACACTTAATTGCTATGCTGTGTAAGTAGGCAAAATAATGAAAATTTCCTGGTTCATTTTAATTCCAGGTAGTTTTTCTTTATTAAGTAGCATCCTGAGTTATCGGAACCAATGAGAAAGCAAACTGATTCACGCTTGTTTTGCAATATTCCACTACCATATGGTGCTTAACATTAAGGAGTCCTGACTATTTCTTAAAGCCGTCAGGTTGTCATCAACAGTTTTTTTTTTATTCATTTCTTTGTGTGTTTAAGACAGTACTAAGCAACTTCCCTACTGATGCCATCTGCCTTAGTTTAGTAACAAACATCCTCACAAGCTCCCCAGTCCCACCCCCATGCTTATTTAGTGTAGCAAAAGCACATCATTACTGCTTTGCATGAGAACTTATTCAGGACACCAGGGCTGTGCTTATAGATAATATTTAAAGTTACTCCCCTTCTATAAATTAATCTTAAAAGGAAGTAACAGTTCCTTAAAAGGAAGCCTTTGTAAAAATTACCTTGCTAAACATAATGGCTCAAAAGAAGTATTATCTGTTGTTTGGTAATATCAGTTTTTCTTTTTTCTTTTTGAACATCACCTTTGGTAAAGTATTGGCCTAGTTCCTATAGTTAAGCTATATTTCTTTTTTTTTTCTTTTAAAAATAATTCTATCAGGGCAGAGATTATGAAAAAAAAATGATGACAGTAACTTCTCCTAGAACTACAGGTTTTCAGAACAGATCAAAGCCCTGAGAAACCTTCTGGCAGTACCCTCTCATTGTGCAGATGAATAATTCAGAGCCAAGGCAAGGTTGACTAATTTCACAGAACTAGTCAGTGGGCTTACCATACATAAACATGCATTGAAAAGTTGCTGGAGGCTGGGCACAGGTTCCTTTTGGGAACCTGGGCGAGAGGGTCACTGGAGTCCAGGAGTTTGAGACCAGCCTTGGCAACAAAGGGAGACCCATCTCTAGAAAAAAGTATTAATAATAAGCTAGCCTGGCATGGTGTCATGCGCCTGTGGTCCCAGCTACTCAGGAGGTTGAGGTGGAAAGATTGCTTGAGCTCAGGAGGTCATGGCTGCAGTGAGCTGAGATCCTGTCACTGCACTCCAGCCTAGGGGATACAGACCTTGTCTCAAACAAACAAACAACAACAAAACCCAAACAAAAACAACAACAAAAAAATCCACAACTTCGCTGGTGTTTCAAACTAGGCTCACACTGTGGCTGTACAAAAGAACGTGATCTTTGCTCTTGAGAAGGGGGGCATATAATCAAACACTCAAAATTCAACATGATTAATGCTATAGGTAGAAAGTGCTCTGGGAACAAAAAAAAAGGAACTGCTGATATCTCTGTTTCTGGGCTTTAGCAAATATCTCACAAGGGAAGTCCTCTACTGTGACTTCTCTTTCCAGCTCACAGTTTTGTTTATTTCTGAAGAAGATGAATTGATTTTGTAGTATTGTGTTCTGGAAGTCTTAAATAAATGATAATAAATGATCCTTTTCCTCTTTAAAGTATTAATGCGCTATACCATCCAAGAACTTATCATATTCATTTTCCATCTCTAGAGGCAACGGTTTTGAGCTATGATGGGAGCATGTTTATGAAAATTCAGCTCCCCGTAGTCATGCATACGGAGGCTGAGGATGTTTCCTTACGGTTCCGATCCCAGCGTGCATATGGCATTCTGATGGCAACCACTTCTAGAGACTCTGCTGACACCCTCCGCCTGGAGCTAGACGCAGGACGTGTGAAACTGACGGTCAATCTAGGTAACAACCTGCCTTCCCCCATTGAACTAACACTTTTTTACTTTTTGTTCAATTTGCCTGCAAACATTGATCAAGTAGCCTGTTTGCCATGGAAAATTAAAACACTTAATGGTCTTATTTCCATCATTTAAAGTAATTTGAGGTTTTCGGGGGCATCTTTTTATTTTTTATTTTATTTTTTATGTTTAACATAACTTACTGTTTTGTGATTTCTACCACTGAGGGTTCTTAAAAGAGAGGCCATGTCTGTCAGTGAGGTTAATTGAAAATATAAATTATTAAGCCTGAGGTTGCCTCAAGCTGAATTTTCTGTTGATATATTCACTGACATTTGGATCGGTTGTAGGTGACATCCTTGCAGATAAATAAAAGCATGTCTTCTTAGAAAGGATTTGCACAAAATATCAAATTTCTGCTTTGTTATCTAGATCAAGAGCTGTTCTTACTCTACTCCATGGGCTTCTCCTTTGAATAATCACCTTTGTGGTACCCTGTCTTTTCTGTTTCGGAGTACTGTGTGGTGGTATTTTGCTATCAAACAGCGATCCACAGCCCTTCAATGCCCAAAGTCTGCGGCCCTTAGCAAACAGCCATGAGAACACTAGAGACACAGGCTCTTCTACAGAAAGATAATGCTTTCCTGCTTAATTGTAGCATTAAGAAAGACCCATTACAGTAAAACCTCACCAATCTAGATGAATTATGGGGAAAAACCAGGCTGAATTAGGAAAAAGTCTGAATTGCAGATTTTAAAATTTGTTTAAGCAGTTTTTATTTTTATAAATTATACTCAAAAACATAATAGTTTGGAAAGTCTTATCACGGAAAGGGCTCTCTAGGCTGATTTTAATGGTTGGATAAAAATTAATTATAATTAGCACATCGTTTCATGCAAACTATGCCATCAACATGAAGTATTGGAAATCAGTTTTCTTCCCACGCTTGGCTTTTCAAAGTCTTGTTTGTTTATGAGTTTAATTTTTTTTCTTAAGAGATCTTTGCTCATATCAAAGGAAGAATAAATACTCTGCCCAAATTTTCAGTGTTATCATTATTTCAAAATAAGAGGAGTCAAAATTAATGAGGTTTTACTGTATTTTTGACAGTGTTAAACACACGTATATAGAAATGAATAAACAGAGAGGGAAAAATGAAATTTGAAACTACATAGATTTACCCCAAAAAAGGAGTAATAAAATGTGATGAGGCAAGGCATTTGTGGAAACCCCACCTACATTTTCAAATTGTGCTGGGCAGAACGATAACTCATAAAATATAAAATTATCCCATTGGTATCTTATTGCATATAATCATATTTAATTAATATTAGTGAAATTAAGTTAAATATTAAGGTTAAAAAAATACTACTTTAAGAACACAGAGCACTCTCCTTTACTGTTCTGTTAGAGTACCCTCTAGTGACGATGACAGGTTATTACAAGCCAATCAAAACAAATCGCCTAATTGCATGCAGTAAAGCTGCTGTTAGTCAAAGTGGAAACACTCATGAGAATTTTCGAACAGCAAAGCATTCTGTAGAAAGAGGTGTGTAGGTGCTGGTCCTTGGCTGTTTGCAACCACTTTTCTGATGCGGTTGACGACACATGACAAACTCAGCTATATGGAAACAGAATCTAGGTTTATTTTTTTATGTTCTCCAAAGGCATTAAATAATAAAACCCAAACCAACAAATACATATAAAATAAATATGAAACATCCTACAGTCTTTTAAAAATAACCACTATAATTACAGTTTGTGTTACCCATACAAGACGTTCTGTTCTTATAGTAGCTACTTTTATATAAAGCAAATATAAGAAAGGGAAAATCAAGAAAGGAAAATCAAGGGAACCACGACACTTATTACACAGAGATAACACTGTTAGCTCCTAAGAGAGGCATAGGCTTGTGTGCCTTGAATAATGACTGCTCCTTAGCCACTGGAGTTTCTAAAGGAAACATACAGTTGTTTCTTTCCTCCTCCAATTAACGCAAGGTATGGAATCCAGCCAACATCTGGCAGTTACCTTTTTATGCCCAAGCAAATAAAATTTAAAAACAAAACAAAAACCCTTAGGGTAAGATAAGAATAATTTTAACTTGCTTTCCATTTGACCACTGCAATTCTGAAGGATTCTGTTGGCCTTTGTGGGATATTAGATTTCGGAGGTCCAAGATGTCTGAGCCTAGCTGAACCTGCACTGTACCCCATTGTGACGGAGCACTTTTACATTTTGCGGAAAACAATGATATGTTCTTTCACAGATGGGGAGAAAGTTGCAGCCAGTCTAAGCCAAACATCTTTGACATTTAACAATTCTTTACTTCACTTAGATTTGTCACCATGTAGCTTTGTTTGAATTGGCCATTTTTAAAACCTTCTATTGTTGTTTCCAATGGTAAACTTTTATAACAAAACATCTGGGCTTTATAAGTATGTAAAGAATAATGATATGGAGTGGCCATATTTGCATGTGTCTGTCCCCGGAAGGGTGGACTGTAATTTTATTGGATGTCTGCAGCTATTACCTTGAAGGATGAATTTTCATTTTTCATCTATTCTTCCCCATCTAGATTGTATCAGGATTAACTGTAATTCCAGTAAGTGCCTATTCAAAATTTTTAAAATGTTATTCCTCCATTATGATGTAAGCTAGTCAAGAAAAAGAGAGAGAGAGAGCAAGAGAAATGTGTTTATAAAACTCATGAGCTCACTTTTAAAGTATACCAGTCCATCATCTGGGTTGTAAAAATTCATTTTTAAATTTGTACAGCTGAAGACTTTCCCACTGCAGTTCCTACCTCTATATGGAAAAAGAGGTGACAAGTGTTTTGTAACAGAATGTGCCAGCACCTTATAGACATTTAGATACTGCAAGTGGCATTTTTAGACTCCAGTTGTTCTCTTCATAACCAAATAGGAGAAAATATTGTGGGTCTTATTTTCTTTTGTCTTTATCTTTTAACTCAAATACAAAAAAAAATACTTAATTCCTCTTACTTCGAGAGTTACTATTAAACCCATCTAAAGTTTTACATAGACATAGAAAATTACTCGTCTAAAACGTTCTTCCTTGATCATTAAGAATGTTTATATGATGAATTTTTACATCCTAATCATATCTCTGCAAAAATAACCAAAACCCTTCAAATCTGTGACATGCATGCAAACTGATGAGTCTGAAAAGATGCATGGACTGAGTTTTCTTTGAATTTGGATGAAAATCTGAAAGGATATAAGGACTGTGATTTTATTTTGAGTTGTGGCATTATCTTAAGTGTAAACTTATTTATTTCTGTACATAAATGCTCAGGTTTTTTCTTTCCAGGTTTTGCTGATCACATTAAGAAATCTCCAATGATCACAACACAAAGTCATCAGCAATTTAAATAAAATGGTTCTAACAAATTTCTAATCTCTCACTGTCACAGTAAAGAATTTTTTTCTATTCTCAAAACAATGCTGAATGTGAGTTGATGGAGTCTACTCCCCACAGCATTGGCCATGTTTTCAAGTGGCAATAAGGCATCCTCTGAGGAACAAATAGAGGTCTTAAACTTGCGAAAACAAGACTATTTTCCTAATAAAATACGTACTGTTTCAAACACTGTGCCTCTTACAACTCATAATTCTATCCACATATATTTAATATTCTTTTAAAAATAACATTAAAATGAGTTTGTTCAATCAGACCAATAAAAAAGTAACAGAATGATGACTTATTAAAAATTAAGTTAATAAATTATAACCAATATCCCAGGCATTTAAAAAGATCTCGAACAAAATAGTTCCTGAAAATAACCTGTCAAAGCTCTCACGTAAGCGGAATTTTTCAAATATATGTAATCTCCTCTCCAACTCTATCTCCTCCATGCATTCCTAAAAGGATATACATTTTGCACATCTAATACCAGGTCCAGTTTGCTTTCAGCTGGGGGCATAGATGCAGGCAAAGTGGCAACTCACAAAATATTCTTTGCCAAAGCCAGATCTGTGCCTCACTCTGGCTGTAGGTTTTCTTGATCCCTCCTGCATCTTAGAAAATCCTTGTGGGGACCAATATTCCTTTCTAGACCTCTACCTTATGTACTCTTTTTATTTTATTTATATGAAGCATGCAACAAGGCATGAATTTTTGAATTTACAAAATATAACTATGCAAAGTATAGCAATTAATGAAAATTATTCAAATGACATGTGATTCTGTATTCTGTGGCTATATCAATGATTTTTTAAATGTATGTTTATAGTATAATTACCCTTGTTAGACTCGTTTGCCATTTGGCTTATATCATGAGACTCTGGTATTGAGGACAGTCTTATTTTTCCTCTGGATATTCCACAGAATAATACCTTTGAGGACAAAGGTTTTTGCTGTTTAGTGAATTGTTTTCCCTTTTTAATGAGTATGTGATACTTGAATTCAATTAATGATTGTGAGCCTCCAGTGTACACATCGGACAGGACTGCACATTCCTTAACTTGACAGCAGTCACTGGAAAGAACATTCAATGAACAGGTAACATTTTCATTTCCTTTGCCTCTGTTTTATTTGGGGAATAGGGAGCAGGTGTAGTAAGAAACCCAAGTTCCATAAAAAAGACTCACCTTTGAGGAAAGGGAGGAATTTACATTCCAGATAATGCAAACCTAACACACAGTGATTAAATGAGCAGTGATTTCTACCTGGAGTGCATTTTGTACTCAATAAAAACTAAATTAACAATATCTGTATCTCAGTATAACTTGCAGTTTAATGAAAGACTGAGTTATTACATGTGTCCTCTGTGAGCCATAGGTTTGTCTGAGACTGAGAAAATTAATGTACGTTTATTAAATCACAGCCGATAACACCATTATCTCTAAAAATTGTGCCATACCTAAGCTATCAACTGTATTGTGAAATTAATATGAAATACCTCAATTGATATCTTTTAAGAAAATTATCACAAGAAATATACAAAGTAAAACATAAAAGATTATCTTACATTAAAGACTAATATTAAACTCTAAGTTATTACGTTTGAATGGAAACTTCCCCAGAAACACTTTTCTACTTTTACTTAAAATTGTGCTGCTGTTTCCTATAGTCATTTTCTCTTTCCCTACCCCACCGCCAAGTTTACAGCATTTGTACTTTATATGGAAAATATACATAGTGTCAGACTATCTAATCTTTGCCAGTGAAAAATGGGTGGGAGGTGAGGAGGGTAGAGGGTCCAGCTACATGTATTCAAACCTGAATGAATGTTTCTTTTTCAGCCACTCTTGTGTCAGTAGTTTAGATGCAGTGACAGAGTTTTCCATGGACATGTTAGGGCACAGCCCTTTGTTAAAATTTCCTCTGAGAAAGGCCAGATCTGAATTCCAAGTATTATCTCTGTCAAATTCCTTATTGCTACCATTTCCCCCCCGGGAAGAAAAGCTGTCAAGCATCCTTAAATGGAAGAAGAGAGCCTCTTTTCATTTAAAAATAAAAAAGCTTATTTTCAGCTATAGATAGGGTACTTTCTTTAAAAAGCTGTCTCTCTGAATAATGGCCATTTCACTGCCAAATGTATGTTTTGATCTTGCAGATTACAGAGTGTGACTGCACACAATCCCAGACGAGTCTCAGTTTATTGATGCTCATTAGCTTATACCATTGCTAAAATATGTTTATCTACAATTTGGGATTAGATTAAGGTCAGTGTTTCCAAATCCATGGGCTGCAAGGTGAGCACAGAAATGAATTATCCATGGCTCACCACTCTCCTCTGTCCAGGATAGGAATAGAAGGACAATCAGATTACCCTTGCCTCCTCTTTCTTTCTTAGACAGTGAAGGATACTTTAATAAGGGTAGATGGGAAGGGACTGTACAGTCACATTCTTTTAACATAAAAAGGAAAAAACTATCTGAATTAACGAAGGAACACAAATTGTAGGCTATTTTAAAACTCATCAAAGAAATCTGTACTAACAAAAACTAAATATTAACAAATCATTGTTGAAACCTTAAATCATATTGAACAAGGTGCTTTTGTGACTAGCACGTGAATTATTTGCATGAGAAGATGACTGTTTTACAGTCTCTTGCCTGGTCCATAGTATTAAATGACTTTAGTAAGTCATTTAAAAATGATAAAGAATGCAAAAAGAATTTTCTATTGCTTGTGAAATTTTCTCAAGTGCATTGTTAGTAGGTTCTGTACAGGACATTAGTCTCATTCTGCATTCTTTATATCTGCCAAAGCACATAGCCTAATGTCAATCTCAGAGTTATAATGATGGTCTCAATTTCAAGTTTGGTGCCCAATAATTCCAAACGATACATCCAAACTCATTAGGCTATGTGTTTCTATGTATTTTTTTTCTGAAAATTTGGCCTTTTTTGTGATGTACTGCATGATTAAGTAGTGCCATTTTTTTCTTTCTCTCTTCTTCTGGTAACCTTAAAAATCGTTAGACCTATAATCTTTTGAGGTGTAAATACATTGAAATTTTGAAAACTAAACTTGCTCCTATCAACTATAGGTAAGTCCTAATTGTCATATCAGTAACTACTTTAAATATGCAGTGGATTCAGTGGATTCAGGGAGCCTTTTGTGTTTCTTGGTTTTCTTATGCTTTCTATTCTTTTTGTTTTTCCAAATCAATGGCATAATTACGGAATGACCTTCTTGTTCACTGGAAGGCTTAGGGACACTTCGTTTATTTTATTTTATTTATTTATTTATTTATTTATTTATTTATTTATTTATTTATGAGATGGACTCTTGCTCTCTCATCCAGGCTGGAGTGCAGTGGTGCAATCTCAGCTCTCTGAAACCTCCGCCTCCCAGATTCAAGCAGTTCTCCTACCTCAGCCTTCCAAGTAGCTGGAACTACAGGCGTGCACCAGCATGCCTGGCTAATTTTTGTATTTTTAGTAGAGATGGGGTTTTGCCATGTTGGCCGGGCTCGTCTCGAACTCCTGACCTCAGGTGATCTGTCTGCCTTGGCCTCCCAAAGTGCTGGGATTACAGGCGTGAGCCACCACACCCGTCCTCAGGGACACTTCTGCATCCATATAAAAATAGATTTAATAAACTCATGATCTCTGGGGCTTGTTTTGTTTGCATTATGTGGCTTTCTTTATGCCTTATTACATTTGTCTGTTCTCCCACCTACCTGCACTTCCTTTCTTTCTATTAAGATTCACTCTTCTTACTTCTTCATTTCCAGTATTGTTTCTTCCGTTATCTTTTTTCTTGTCTTCTTAGAAGAATAAAAACTCTGGAGTTAAAAAAAATATTTAAGCAGACCTTCCAAGTACTTTTGGCTTCTCACAGAAAATAGTGTATTTAAGAGGCAGAGACAACACAATTACATATAACATTAGTGTGAACAAAGCATCAAGGGCTGAAGTTCAATTCCTATTTGCAGTCCAGTGCCCAAGTATTGGAGAGAAGGGGCATCTAAGGACAAGTACTTGACCTCGCTTTTGACTTGGGTATAGGGAAGAAACACTTCACATAGTATATTTTTGAAAAATGTACTTTGATGGATGTCTGGAGTAGATAATAAGATCTTTGTATTACCATTTTATTACCAGAATGAAAAGATCAAATGGATATTAGTTATCACCAATTTTTATGTAGATAAAAATGGAAAGCAATAAAAGAATGCAAAATGTCAACCACTGGCACTTAAGCCATATTAGATTGCTTTGATCAGGCTGCCATTTGAGAAGCTACTTAAAAAGATATGAGGAAATTTCTAGGGGCTGGAGCTTGTTAACATAAAGTAAATATTCAGTTTAGAGTCGCTGCTTGATGCCTGAGAGCAGAAAACTGTAAAAGGGAGTCTTTCGCCTCTGCCTTCACACAGCAGTCACTTGATTTGTGGAGTTCTGCCAGTCATTGCCTGTCAGTGACTGGTGCTATCCACCTGCCTAGGATAGAAGCTGCTCAAGGAATAAGGGAAGTTCAAAGTATAAATAAAGAAAACAGAAGTCTCGTTGTTTTTTGTTGTTGTTTCTGTGTTGTTTTACTTAAAGTATATGTGAAGGGAATGAAAAGAAAGTTTATAAATTATTATTTTCAGCAAAAATCAAAAAAAATTGCATGTAAAATGTAAAGAATGAACATAGATTTCTGACAGAAAACAAATAAAAACAGGCAGTGTATTGGCACATGGCAATGAGTCTTTAGAATAATATCGAAATTGAGGCTGGGTGCTGTGGCTCACGCCTGTAATCCCAGCAGTTTGGGAGGCTGAGGCGGGTGGATCACCTGAGGTCAGGAGTTCTAGGACCAGCCTGACCAGCATGGTGAAACCCCGTCTCTACTAAAAATACAAAAAAACTAGCAGGGCATAGTGGCAGGTGCCTATAATCCCAGCTACTTGGGAGGCTGAGGCAGGAGAATTGCTTGAACCTGGCAGGCGGAGGTTGCACTGAGCCAAGGTTGCGCCATTGCACTCCAGCCTGGGTGAGAGAGCAAGACTCCTCTCAAAAAAAAAAAAAAAAAAAAAAAAAAAAAATGAATAAAAATAAATGAATAAATGGAAGCCCATTTAAATTATCCACATGTTTAAACTTATGAGAATTGTAAAGAAGAATACAGCTTTCATTGCATATTTAGATGACTACATGGATTAGGCAACAGAATGATACTGTGAGTGGTTGAAAAGTAGATTGCTTTGGTCTATTTTAGTGAATGATTAATCTACTGATTGCTTATATGCAAATATAAAATGCTGTGATATTCTAAAAACTACTCTTGTGCAGTTTAAGAATGCATGTTGAAACCAAGCACAGTTATTAATTTATTCACGTTAAGCATTATTGATACTGCAGAGACTCTCAAAGTAATGCAACATTCTTGAGTGTTGACCAAATTGATCAAATTCTCTTCAATTGTTGAGAGTCGGCATTATAACAATTGCCTAGGTAAAAAGTATTATAAAATCCAAGAAAGTTTTAGAAGAAACATTCTAAACTTGATATTCTCTTATTAGTTTCTGTGAAAAGGGAGTTTCTTTTATACAAATATCCCCAAATCTAAGAGAACACAGCATGTTGGCCAGATGTTTTTATTTGTTGTCGTTATGAAGAGCTGCTTCTAAACATACCCCACTTCCTCCATTGTTTTGAGTTTCTTCTCTTCCTTCCTTTACTGTATTCTTCTCTGCCTTCCTCCCTCCTTTTCTTCCTTTCTGCTCTCTCTCTTTCTTTCTGTCATCCCTTTCACTGGCTGTATACTCTCTATATGTTGTATATTCGACTTTTCTAGAAAGAGAATCTAGTGAATCTATTACTTATCCTTGTCCCGTTGGACAAATCTTTCAGTTCAGGTCGCCCCATAAGCTACTCACCAGATCTTAGTTTTGGTGGCAGATGATCCAGTTGCTGGATCCAATTGGATCCACTGGTGATCCAAATAGCTGTCATTAGAATAGAGGCCACATGATACACTCTCCTCAGAGCAGATGTAGGAGCAGCAAGCTTTCTACACAAGCATCTTTTCTATATGTTGTCTGACTGAAAATTGTTTTCAGTTTAGCTATAAAATACCCATGAGAATTACAATCTGTTCAACAGATTACTGGCTAACATGTGGTACATAAGTCAAGTGGGCAAGGCTCTTTAAATCATGGGGACGGTCAAAGAATTTGGAGATTGAAATGTTTTGTGTGCTCAGAACTCTTATCCACTTCTTTTACTTATTAACAATGTGAGCAAAAAGCAAGATGGATAAGAAATGCATTATGAAAACAGTTTTCCTGAAGATGAATAAGAAATACTAAAAGGCTAAATTACTTTATTTTTAATGTACTTAAAATTGGATTGTTTATTATTACTTGTTCTTTGAGTTCATCATTCATACAATTGTGGAAATTCTTCACTCTCCAACTGCACTTCCCAGGATATCAGTCTAAATACAGACTCGAAATATTTTATGCATAGTACTATTGAAATTAATTAAATTTCAAAGACAATTGCCTTTTTCTACAGATAAATGTTATGGTTAAAATTGCTTTTGAAATGCGTGATTTAAGATATGAGTTAACAAAATCCCTTTTAAATGTTGCTTACGAAGAATGTAGGTTTCTAGTGAAGTGCACCCATTAAATTTTCAAATACATGGAGAAATCAACCAGCTTTGGAACCAGGAAGTTTCCAGTGTAAATAAGTATGAACTTCTATACAACTTAAAGAATTCTAAAATGTTTTACATTTCAGTAGGCGCAAAGGAAGTAGTTTATGCATGTAAAAATTAAAACCAAAATATTATAGAACAAACATACTGTAATGACATGTCTTAAAGTTGTTTTTACAGATTTTTCATGAATTATAAGTTTCTAGTAAAGAAAATAAAAAAGAAATTTTTAAATCAAATAATGCAGGTGTTCTCTTAGTAGTCAGACATATTCACCTAATAGTGTTGAAATAGGCAGATAAATATGGAGTTAGACCATTATGATGAGTACAATAAATAAAAATTGTAGAAACCCCATAAAATAAATTCTGTTTAATAAATCAACTGAGAAATTTTATACTGCTAAAAATAATATATTGGTAATCAAGAAATTCTTTATGCAATCAATTAAGTAAAATTAGTTCAGCCAATAGGCAGTGAAGAAGTAATCAGCATCTCCTATTTTTTTTGAGTTATCAATTATGGAACAGGCAAGGGACCTTCATAACAAAATTGCTTTTCTATTATGTTTCTGGAAGTATATCCCTCTAAATGTTTATATCTGCTGGTGAGATTGAGGTAATTTTTAGTTTTTTTTTCTATTCATCATCTATAATTTCTACAATGTTTTTTCTTTGCTATTGTGATTAAAAAATCAAAAGTGGGTAAAAGTAAAATATAATTTAAACCAATCCCACCAATATTTAGGATAAAGCTACACTAGATCATATATTTGTAATACATCATGTACATTTTAAATTAATTTACAGGCTAAATTTCCTACTAATTTTGACTCTCAAAATAGAATGAATATCTTTCAGAACAACATTTTGTTCCTAATCAGAAATAGTATTCATATTTGGAGGCTAAAGGAAACAGAAAATACATAAAAGTAGCCTAGGATTTCAATTTTCACAGAAAAGTTTTATTAATGTCTTAAATGCCCTTATAGCACATAATACTTGGCACATTATGTACTTAATATATAACACATGGTATAATATGTGCTTCTTTAAAAATATAGAGCCATGGTATAGGAATGTTTTGCACCCCGTTCTCTAATTTTAGCAACATCTTGTAAACATTATGTCCTGTCTTTGATTAAAACATACAATATTTTTAAATGTAATCTATTGTTTCTCTTAGATTTTATGCCAAGGTTATATAAAGCAATTCCAGGTCACTGAGCCAGTTGAAGTAACATATAATAGGGAGGAAAAATATGTCTACCAATGGAAATTATACCATGATTCTTCAGTGATCTCAGTTTTCTCAGATGATAACTGGTTGGGAGCATCTGTGAACAAGATCATGAGAAATAAACCAGATTTGAATAGCCACACATGAGAAGATGCTTCTAGATGTGTTAGTATAAGTTATCGTCCTTGACTGTAACCTACTAATAGAAAATCTAACATAATCTTACCTTAGGAAGATCAACCAGAAACAGGCACAGAGACATAACTCAACATTTCTATCAGTGGTTTGACCAGTTCCAAGGAACCTTCACACACTGTCTCTTCAGATAAACCAAGTTAATTTGGCCTAAGATTTAATTGCTAAGTTATTGTTATAGTTGGACAATTGCCATTTTAGAACATTTCCTGGAGCATAAGGTGAGCCATTCATTTCAGAAGACATTTGCCCAAAGATAACTTCAAAGAATTAATTCCAATATTTTTCAATTACTAAAATAAATGGTCAAAGAGAATCATAGAATTCAAGCCACTGACTAAAAGCTAGCTTAATAAATAATCCAGTGATGATTAAAGAAAACAATTAAGTTAGCACTGTCATTAAAATCTTAAAATTCAAATAAAGAAGGGTTTAGCTAATAATTATATCATTGCTTAGAAAAAATATATTGCATTCGAATGTTCACATGATGAATGCATTAATAATCATGTACAGTTTGTCCATAGCCTTCATTTGAACAATCATTATGTAAAGAAACAAAAAGAAAGCAAGACACGAGATGCTACCATTCATCAATTGTCACATTTCTTAGAATTTGTTTTCTTTAAGCAAATAGGTCCATAAAGTTGACAATACTGAGAAATAGATTTCTACGCATTATAATGACTTCCCAGTAAAAAGAAAGGAAGAAAAAATAAATAAACTTAATAAAGGCAGAAACTTAGGGTTTTTTTCTCTAATATGCTTCTTACTTTTGGAAAAAGTTTATACTAGAATATCTCAAAAATACTGAGGATGAACTAAATTTTGTGAATTCAGTCATGTACTTAATAATATTCAGCTATCCTTATGTTAAGAAGAAATGGAAAGTAAAAGGTAAATTCATTGATCTTGAATTATGAAAAAATGTACATCCTTCTTGACCTCATTAAAAAAATGCTATAACTATTACAGTGGTGTATTTAGACATGGAATGATATATTTAATTTTAAAAAAATGCATTTGTGACTATAATCCATGGCTTCGTTTATGGAATATCAGTTTACATTTTGTAAATATCCAAATGCTCAGGACCCATATGCTTTTTGATTTTTTTTTATTCAGACAACTTGGCATTGTGTATGTATTGCAGAAAATACATTAAATGAGTATTACTATAAATCAGTATAACCCTTTTCTTTAACACTACACAAACACTGAATACATTTTCAGTTTTTAATGCTTACTCAAAAGCAAATTGAACTATTTAGTACTCAATTTTATATCTGCTAGCTGTCCTGTTATGTGATAAGCATCCCTTGGAATTGACCTTTTGAAAAAAATAAAATCACAGTCTGAATTGTTACTTTCATTGTATTAGGCTTATTTTATTATACTTCTTAAACTTGCCAGTTGAGCTAGATTAGATTTAAAGATTGCTAGTTTTAGAACATTTTTTCTAGAAATATATTTATTTAATTTGTGTTCATTTTTACTGTGTTGTAAATGTAATTCTCTTCTTAAAAAGTAAATTATAATTCTTAAAATGTATGTTTTTCGCATTGAAATATATTTACATAAGAGATATTTATCCTTGTCTGTCATAAATGGGTACAATCAATGACAAAACTACAGAGGCTTAATGTTTCTTAGTAGATGAAGTAGGTGATTTTAACCTTGTTTATTCGTTTGCATAGGCAATGATATTTATAGGCCAGAAGAAATAGAGCAGGAGGTGAAGCATCGAGAAATACTGAAATTTATTTTGTAGATAATAGAATAAGTTTGCTATCATTTAGGAAAATGGCAGAAAAGTCTCTGGAGGGTGTTTCCAACAACTCTCCAAGGTCACATCCACTTGAGGACAAGATCTGTGTTTTTTTATAATTAAATACTCAGTAAGTTTTGAGTTCCCCCAATTTCTAAGCCAACTATTTCCTTTGGACTCGGAAGTTATTCACTGCTAACCTTAGGTCATTTTGTTCCACTAGGCTGTATGCATCATGAAGTTTATTTTCAATGTAACTGAGCGAAAAAGCTGTCCAAATAGTTATCCAGATAACTGAGTTACTCAAGTTCTCCAACTGTAGGGGTTACCAAATTCCATCCTGCTAAATATGAAAACAGGAGGACAGAGTTTTCTTTATATTTACCTTTCTTAGTGAATGGAGGCATTAAAAGATGGAGTTACTTTTCATCAACTACTTGGCTTAATTTAATATCAAGGGGTATTTCATCTACCATTTAAAAAAAAGTCCCACAAAGTTTACACAAATAAACCCATTCAACAAATACTTAGTGAATTGCCGTTATGTTCAAGGCACTGAGCTATATCATATTTTCTCTGAGATTTTAAACTCATTGAGGAGAAGATAAAAATGACAACATAATACTGATGATAGTTACTTTTATCACTACTATAATTGAAAGCTTACCATAAATCAGATTATGGTAAGCTTCTTGCGTTATTAAGATGCATTAAACCTTTGATTAAAAGTAGTTTTGAGTTATTAAGATGCATGAAACCCATTTACATTGTTTCTAGTATTAGCTTATGAGATATATGAGGATACTGAGGCATGCAGAAAGTAAGAAGGTTGCTCAAGGTCACACAGCTAATAACTTGTAGAACCAGGATAAAACTCAACAGTCTGTGTGGGTCAAAAAATAAATGCAATATAGTTGGTCAGCACATGACTATTTAATTTCTCCAGTGGATTTTTTAAAGTTTATAAAATGTCTTTCTCTGTTATTAGTGTTCATTTTTGAAAAACAAACATCAAGCTGAATGTCTGACTTTATATCATTTAGTCAAAGTACTTTTTAACTGGGATGAGTATTTCTAGTATTTTTAGCATAAAGAAATGTGTCTGTCCTTAGGACTCTATCTCTTTGCTTATTAAAAAAAAGGAGGCAAGCATCTCTTTATGGGACATTCTGAATAGTTCTCAAGGGTATATCCTTGGCTAAATTGAGGAGCACTTGAGGAGGAATAGAGAAGGAAAAGAGAAAGGAGTTACATGGGTCAGCAGGTAGTTTTGCTTCCTGGTTCTGAGGGTTATTGGTGTATCACCAAGCCCAGTTCATGATTGGCACCAGGCCTGGCCAGCAAAACAAGCCTGAGACAGCTTCTCTGATACCCCAGAGACCATGTCATTAAGTGTGGATACTCTGGGGAAGGTGACTCAACTATGCTTCTCACATAGATAAATGAAGAATTTTGCCTCCAGCCTTGTCTGCTCATTCCTGAATGTAGAATCTACTAAAGGAAGCATCAAAAATAAATAAGCACAAAACTTATACTCCTAAAAAGAACTGGCTTCAACAGCATACAACTTATGCAGTCACACCGTGCCATATGCTGAGCTTGTGTTGTGCTTGGGTTAATGCTCCACTGCTACCATCTTGAAATTCTTAATTTTGAATAAGGACTCCACATTTTTATTTGCAATGGACTCTCAAATTATGTGGCTCATCCTGCCTCTAGTAATGTTAAGAGGCAGAAAAAGGAAAATTTAGAAGTGCCATTTACATGTCTAAATTTAATTTGTAATTGAATGTTCTAGCTGATTCTTGTGAAAAATTAAAACAAACAGGTTTCACTCACAACTCAATACCTAAAAATTGAGAAGGATAAAATAGAAACCTGTAATGAGGAGTTAATCTCCTTTGAATTTTTTTAACTGGAGGACAGATTACTTTAAAACCAGAAAGTAATGGGAAAGTCAAATAGTAGGCTGAAGGTGTCATAATTACAACCTGGGAAACATATCCTCTCATCATTTGTAGGTAGGAAGTACTGCTGCCAGCAACTATGACTCAGGCATCAAGCAGTGGTAGCTCCTGCTTCCATCTTCTCATCATTGTCACAATGACAAGGCTTGCTTCCAGCTTCTCACAAGGTCCTGCCTCACCCCAGAGACTACAGTCCCCAAAGTCAACTGCCAAATAAAACTTGTTAGTACCTGGAAAAGTTGATATACGTAGAAACCTAATAACCAAATTTTTAACAAAGGTGCATGCAGACACACACACACACACACACACACACACACACACACACACACCCCAAGCATTTAATGAATGTTTCTATTCTAAATTTGCAGAAAAGGAAAGGAACCTAATTTATCCTAGATTTTATAAGTAGAAGGACTTTGCAATTGATTTGTGTCATTTAAAGCAGTGGTCTCCAAACTTTTTGGCATGAGGGACTGGTTTCATGGAAGACAATTTTACCACAGACGGGAGTGATTTCAGGATAATTGAATTTCACTACATGTATCATCCACCTTATTTCTATTACTATTACATTGTAATATATAATGAAATCATTATACATCTCACCATAAGGTAGAATCAGTAAAACTAGAGGTTGTTTACCAGCAACTAGAGAGTCTCATCTGAGGGTAATGGGAGACAGTGACTGATTATCAGGCATTAGATTCTCCTAAGGAGCATGAAACCTAGATCCCTTGCATGTGCAGTTCACAATAGGGTTTGCATTCCTGTGAGAATCGGTTGTCACTGCTGATCTGACATGAGGTGGAGCTCAGATGGTGATGTGAGTAATGGAGAGCGGCTGTAAATACAGATGAAGCTTCTCTGGCTTGCCTGCTGCCCACCTCCTGCTGTGCGGCATGCTTCCTAACAGGCTGGTACCTGTCTGTGGCCTGGGGGGTGGGGAGCCCGGGCTTAAAGCCTTTAAAAATTGATTTTAGTTGTTTCTTAAGAAAACAAACAGCAGTAAAAAAGTTAGGAGAATTAGTATTTTTAAGGTTATGTTACAGTTAGTGGCAATATCGAATCTAAAACTCAGGTTTCCTCGCACTTAAATTCTTGAGTATGTTTCTGTTATTCTTTAATATGCAATGCAGAATTTATGGGAAACGTTTAAATTATCTATACGTGTTTATCTTACAGGGTCTTGAACACTATAGCTCTCAAGCTAGCTCCCTGTTTTAATGAAGCTTTACTGAAACACAGCCACTCCATTTGTTTACATACATTCTATGCTTGCTTTTACATTGCAATAGTAAAGTTGAAGAGTTGCAATGGTGAACACATGGTCGGCAAAGTCAAATAAATTTACTGTCTGGCCCTTTACAGAAAAAGTGTTTTGACTTCTGACCTATTAGAATGTAAGTTCCTTTGACTGTAACTCGGATATTCCCAATGCTGAGATCGGTATTTGGCACAAAATAAATTTTAAACAAAATTAATAGCATATGGGTGCCATGGAACCCAGAATAAATGAGTAGCTAAATGGGATAAACAACAGACACAATATGGACCATTCAGTTTTAAAATTTTATAATTCTCAGATGCTATGGTACTGTAACTTCTCTTCCTAATTCAATTACCAGGTGCTGTAGGTCTAAATATATTGAACAATCATGTATAAATATAGAACCAATTTATACATATAAGGTGATTCTAGTATTTTTAAAAAATTCCTGCCTGTCCATCATCTGTGCAATTTGTTAGGTGATGGTTTTGCAGAAATACCCATCAAAATCTTCATGCTCGATAAATGGTTTAATTGAGTAAGTCAGATTAACCACTGAAATAACTAGGTAGAATTTTAAAGTAGAAATTACAATGAATATGTTAGACAAATAAAGTGAACTTTAGAACCAATTGGTTTGCACTGTACCAGAGTATATATATACCAGAAGCAGGGTACACCATAAAGATAGTTCATTTATGTAGTTAACCTCTTTAAAATATATGCACCACTAGAGGGAGAAAGCTACCTAAAGGGTGTGTAGAGATGCAATGAGTTTACACTTGGGGCACATACATCTAAGAGTTTAAAACTCCAAATATAACTGCTATGGGTTTTTGTTTTTGTTTTTTTTCAAGTTTCTGTACAGCTACATCCACCTTTCAGTTCCAGAGGCATCTGCCAGTTTTGTCTCTTAGAGGTCTTTGCTTCCATTGCTTGAAAGGGTCTCAGCTTTGTTTTATTCTTCTCTATTTCTCTTCACTATATTTTCCCTCCACATTCATAAACCAGTATAAATTGTTCACAAGATATTTGCACAGAAGGCTTTGTAGCAAAAAGCATCCAAATTTAGTATCATGTACATCTTATTTTAACCCAGCAAGATTAAGCATGTCGTTATTGATCTATTTCAGGTTCCCTTGCAAGTGTATTTTACATTTATTTTTATATTCAGGGTGAATGCTTAGGAATTAAATAACCAAACACAAATACTGTGAAATCTCAGGTTAAAATGGCAACTGTTCCAAAAAATTTGACTTTGGGAGGCCTAATTTCAAAAAACTAGACTGCAGTGTGCGTGTTCAAATAAAAATTGTGGATGTTTCTTTCAATATACATTTTTATATAGTGTATAGTGTATTTGACTGTCAACCATTTTTTAATGGTAGATCCTTTGGTGGTTTGCAGAACTCATGCACTGTTACTTAACTTATTTTCCATAAAAAGGAGAGAAAGGAAATTAATATTCATTGAGATTACACAAAGTGCAAAGCACCAAACACATTAGATTTGTTATATCCCTTAGTCCTTACAACAAATCTATGAAATAAGGTAGGCATTATTATCTCACATTTATAGATGATGGAAGGAAAGCTCAAAGAAGCTAACATACCCAAGCCTAAGCAACCAGAAAATGCAATACCTGCTTTCAAATCCAAGTTTATATAACTCTCAACCAAGTTCAAGCTTTTCTTATGATGCATGCAGATCTCCCCTGAAATATATGAGAATCTACATTTGAACCAAATGTAAAGAGGTATGTGAAAAAACACACCCGTTTCATCACTGCTTCCGAAACTGTGTATGGCAGTGAGGTTCTTTGTAAATTGTACTGATTCTGCTATCCAAAGCAGGTGGGTTTGTTTAAAATGTATTTAGAACAATATTTTTTGAATATGTAAAAATATAAATAGGGAAAGGAATGATATGCAAAGGTCAAAGAATGTTTACCCTCTCTGACTTTGGCCAGACAATTAGGTAATGCATGTTAGGTCCTAAATAAGTTCAAGACCCAGGCATTAGTTTCATCCTGCCAATAACAAGGAAGACAGAGGCAAGGCAACTAACCTCCCATGGAGATGTCTGTAAAAGGAGAGCTGGACTAAGTAGCATAGCTATGCATCCCTTGAATGCTATTCTTTCTTTCTTAAATACATTCACTTAGTAGTCTGTGCTTCAGTACTTTCAAATATAATTTATAGTGATTAACAAAATTTATAGTGATTAACAAAAATAGTTGTAACATAATTACATGTTGTCAAAAGAAAAAAGTTATCACCATTAAAATTTGACTATATAAAATAATAAACACATTTTCTAGCACGTATTAATATTGTCCTCTGGCTTCACTTGAGTGTAGTAATTCTTGGGTAGAAGAGCCTCTTTAAGGCTTGGTCTGCTCTCTGCCTACTGTGCCAAAACAAAAGTGATGAAATTAGTAACAGTAATAATAAAAATAAAAAGCTTGCACCATTAGAGATATTCACTATAACATTGCACTCTTTCATGTAGCCGCGAGGTAGTTTTGGTCCTTCTAAGAATGACAATAGTTTGAAGTTGGCTGTAGGAAAGTTTTTTTTTTAATATGCTTTTATATGGGATTATCATTTTACAGATAAAAATAGGAATAGAGAGAATACATGTCGTCTTCAAGGTAACATAATTAGTTGATGACAGACTGGGGACAAAATCCAATTTTCTTTACCATTACCTCCCATAACTACAAATTATAGCATGAAATTTCCTTTGTTCTGAGACTAATATTTAAAGAAACCTAAGAATCATGTTGATGTGAAAATGGAAGTAAAAGTCATTAGCAAATGTGGTTACTAAAATGGCCAAAAATCTACCATCTTTTGAGTGTGTGTCTCTCTCTCTATCCCTCTCACACACACACACCCACATACACACATATACTTGCTAACACACATTTTCCTCTGTCGGTACCATGCCTCAAGTTAGGGTTAACTCCAGCCCTTCTTAGGAGTTAATCTTAGAGACACCTTGAATTTATGGATGGGTAGGTTGTGGAAGAACACTCAATTTACACTGAATTAAGGAAAACTGAAATGTTTACTGCTTCTACTTCCATCTGTTATCAATAGGTTTTAGCTACAGGGTCACCAGCAAACCCAGTGAATATCACCAGCCAAAAAATTTGGCTGTTGTACCATAGATTAGGTCAAACTCTGTTGACAAGCACTGACAGACTTATTAAACTCAGACTCAGATTTTGGTGTGCCTTGAGAAATTCATTCTAAATCAGCATTGTCTAATGAACAGAATAATTTTTTAAAAGTTTGTTAGGGCTGGGCGCACTGTGGTCCGCACCTGTAATTCCAGCACTTTGGTAGGCCAAGGCTGGCAGAGATCAGGAGTTCGAGACCAGACTGGCCTCGAACATGGTGAAACTCCATGTCTATTAAAATACAAAAATTAGCTGGGCATGGTAGTGGGTGCCTGTAATCCCAGCTCCCTGGGAGGCTGAGGCAGGAGAGTCACTTGAACCTGGGAGGCAGAGGTTGCAGTGAGCCGAGATTGCACCACTGCACTCTAGCCTGAGCAACAGAGCGAGATTCTGTCTTAATAATAATTAAAAAAAAAAAAGCTTGTTAGACTGAGAGTCTAGAGACCTATGCTTCTTAATTTAACAGTTGTGACAATGGGGACGTCATCTAATGTCTTTGCACTTCATGTTTCTTATTTGTAGATGATGATTGAAATTCTACACTTCTCATGTCCCTCCTAGTTCTAAAATTCTTTAATATAACATTAGCCTGTAGAGCTGAATTCTGACCTGGTCTGGTGAAATATTAGCTGGGGGCATTCAGTCCCGTTGTACCTCTTACACTACTTGCAGATCATTTTCTGTGGAAAACACATTTTAATGAAAATAGAAAATTTCAAAATCTCAGTCTTCTCTCTACTTCTTACTGCCTTTGAGACTTAATAATTCGCTCAACACTTTTAAATCTGCTTCTTTAACTATAAAATGAAAAATTAATATATCTGGCTTAAATAATATGTTACAGTAAAAATCAAGTGTAAAATTACAAACAAATCAAAACTCCCTACAAAACATAAGGAATGATGTCTTTTAATAGACATAAGGCTATGGTCTTTCTTTTCTTTCTTTCTTTTCTTTTGTGGTTTTTTTTTTTTTTTTTTTTTTTTTTTTGAGATGGAGTCTCTCTCTGTCATCCAGGCTGGAGTGCAATGGCGAGATCTCGGCTCACTGCAACCTCCGCCTCCTGGGTTCAAGCAATTCTCCTGCCTCAGCCTCCTGAGTAGCTGGGATTACGGGTTCCTGCCACTACACCCAGCTATTTTTTGTATTTTTAGTAGAGAGAGGGTTTCACCCTGTTGGCCAGGCTGGTCTCAAACTCCTGACCTCGTGATTCTCCCGCCTCAACTTCACAAAATGCTGGGATTACAGACGAGAGCCACCATGCCCAGCCAGCTATAGACTTTCTTAAAAGTCTTTAAAATATTGCCCACTGTGTTAGTCTTCTTGGGCTGTTACAACAGAATACCATAGATTGGATGGCTTAAACAACAGAATTTTTTTTTCACCTCAGTTTTTTGAAGGCTTGAAGTCAAAGATTGAAGTGTCAGCAGATTTGGCTCTTGGTGAGGGCCTTCTTCCTGGCTGGTAGGCAGCCACCTTCTCTTTGTATCCTCACATGGCAGAGGGGACGCTCTGGTGTTTGTTCCACTTCTTGTGAGGGCCCTATCCCATCATGGGACTCCACCCTTATCTAAACCTAATCATATCTTGAAGGCCCCACCTTCTCATACCATCACTTTGTGGGTTAGAAATTCAACATAGTGAATTCTGAGGGACACACACATTAAGTCTGTAATACATTGATGCAGGGAGAAAGACGTTGGCACAACTGATGCATGGTTTGATATCCCCCAAAGGAAAGGAAATCCTGAAAGGTCATTAACAGCTTGAAGTTACTATAATTTTGCCATTAAAATTATAGCAAGAGGACAAACTCTCAAATTCAAAATTTCAACAGTTAAACCATCTTTCTTTAACAAGTTTGTATATGTTAAATTCTGTGAGAAAGTGAAATTCTAAAGGAACTGTAAAGATCAGCTGGAAACTCTCCTCACTTTATGGATGGGAATGCTGAGACCACCAGAAGTTGAGTGTGTTAGCAAATTGCTGATTGTGGGTGGAGACAGGTCCTAAAATGATGTCCCTTCTTCTGTGTCATATCTTTAGGAACAGTCATTTCAGCATCCCTAGATAGACATTGTATTACTTAGAGATTTGCTTCCACCAGGACTTGTGCAGAGGGTGTGTAGGATTTGCTAGCAGTGTGATCATTCTGTAGGGCAAGCTGGGAGTCACCACAAAGAGGATCTTTTCCATCTCCTTTGTTCCAATATGGGGAAAGTGAGAAATTAAGTTGTTAGCCAAAGATTCTCATAACTACGAGGCTGAATAATGCAGGGAAAAGCATGCAGGCTTTGAGTAGGTCAGGCCAAGGATGAAACTTGGTTCTACCACTTTTTAGCTGTGTGACCTGGCGACAAGTAGTTGTAGCTTTATAGGCCTTCAGTTTCACATCTGCAGATTAATAATGTAAAGGTGAAGCAAGACAACAGACAAAGTGCCTGCTACATAATAAGCACTCAGCAACCCCCAACTTCTTTTTTAGTAGGAAATCATGATCTAGCAACTGCAATTCTTAACTCCCAGTCTAGTGCACTTTCCATTACACTTCATGTTGCATGGGTAACATTGTGTTGAAGTGAGACTATTAAGTGCCTTTTTAAAAACCTTATCTTCTAAAATCAATCTGTTCACAATTTTAATAATGCATGAAAGGAGCTAGAAGTTGGCGCACAGAGATTTTTATGAACCAAAGGGTTATTTTTAATTGGATTTTATGCCTGTTGTTATGGAAATAGTTGTTGCATAGATTAAGCATTATGACTTTACTGCAAGATCAAGCCAAGGATGGGGTATAACGATGATATCACCCTTATGTATGCTTCCTTTCCTTGACAAAATATATTTAAAAAAGAAAAGAATAGAAGTGAAGCTGCTTCAAAAGCACATATTTCTAACAAAAAAAAAAAGTTCCCTATAAAAATAGCTCTAAAATGATATGTTCTCTTTTCAAGGATCAAAATGAAAGATGACCCTTACTGCCAGCAGGATGCTAAGATGCTGCAGAGTTATTAAACACTTCTTTCTTCACTATTGAATTTAGAAAGAGTTTTTTTTTTTTCATCCTGGAACTTGCTTTCAACATTTGATCTCAAAGTATTTTTGCAGTTGCTGGACTAGCAGGCTTTCTCTAGTTATTTAGCCATCAATCTCTTAAAACTGTTATATCTAGAATAGTTTTAAATTCATGTATCTGGAGTTGTAATTTAATTTCTCTAAAGATACAAACAGATATAAATAACTGAGGCAATTCATCCTTTAAAATTTAGCTCATATCACTGGCTCATTTCTAACCTGAGATACACCAGCCAAGGATACAACACTTGAATTATTAGTAGCACCATAAGAGAGAAATCAATAGGCTGGTGGATAGGGTGTAGTTCTGAAAGAAAACAATGATCTCATGTGGATGGAAAACTGAGGTTTATTTTACTTGGTTCTCTGTCTCTTACTCGATCTCTCTTGCTCTCCTCTTTTTTTTTCTTCTTCTCCTTGGCCTGTATCTTTACTTTCTCATATATCCTCCCGTGATCCTTGGGCATTAATTGGTTTTGCTGGCAGAATTTGGTTAAACAAATTGTGAACTCCAATCCTGATTCTCAATTCGTTGAAAGACATGAAACTCAATGATATAATGCCCTTCATTATTTTAATGTACCAGCATGTTTCCATACTTAAAAAAACACCAGGGAAAAAATTCATTACCAAACAATGTATCTTTAATGTTATTTTTTCTCAATGACTCATAATGTCAGATTAGTAGAAATACTTATTTTTTAAATAAAAATATCTGGTTATGTTAAAAGCATTTTCCCTTGCTTTTTTTTTTTTTTTTTTTTGAGGTGACGGATATAGTCTAACTTAATCATTTCAATAATTTCTACCAAACACCTTTCTGAAATAATATGTCTCTGCTGAGTCCATTTAAATTTCATTTGCATAGGTTTATATAGATTCACTAGCAGTTACTTTCCCAGTTATACTTCTTGCCCACTCGATGCCCACTGGTAATCCCTTGCTCTCTACTGTTGTTTAATATCACTACTTTTCCTTCATGCTCAACAGTTGGCCCTTTATTGGCTGTGCCTATTTTTTTTTTTTCTTTCCTTTTCTTCGGTCCACTTACTGTGAGTCAATACTTATACCTACACCTGCCAGAAGTGCCTCTGCCACACACAGACAGATTTGTGACGTACAGGTCAATTAGTTGTAAGGTTTATTTCGATGTGTTTTTTAGACTCAACATTCCATAAATTTAGGAGGCTAAAGAACCTAAGAACGTGTTGAGCACTGGAGGTACCAGGTATAAGAGCGGAATAGCCGCCATCACACAAGATAGTACCTTCTCCCAGAGTCTACTGGGAGACTTATCTCACTGAAAACGATTAGCTAATGGGCTACAGTCAGATGTCTTCTAGAGCTCAGAGGTTACATGATGGCTAGACACTTTGTTAGCAGGAAAGTGGTAACTAAAAATCAGAGAATTTATTTTTAAAAATGTGTGTGTAAATTTGGGTGGGTTCCCAGTGCTGTATTGACTGTGCCTATTTATGACAGCAGGTTAATTCACTTGTTATGGATCAATGCGTAGGATTAAAGATTCTTAAATGGTCACACCTGAATGTTTGTAAAAGTTGTCATTTTCCTTGCTTGCTATGACTCTAATGGGCTTGAAAATTGGTCCAGCCCGCCTCTTCTCTGTTTCCTTTCTCTCCCTCCTCTCTCTCTTTCTTCCTTTCTTCTTTCTCTCCTCTCTCTCCCTCACCTTCCCCCCTTGTCTCTTTCTCTCACTCTCTGTGAGGTTCATTTGCTTGACTGATTCTGAGTGTCCATAATGACTGTTTGGCATATTCTACAGGCAAAGGTCCCGAGACTCTTTTTGCTGGCTATAACCTCAATGATAACGAGTGGCACACAGTGCGTGTAGTTCGGCGTGGAAAAAGTTTAAAGTTAACAGTGGATGACCAACAGGCCATGACAGGTAAACACCTCTGTCCCATTGTCTTTTCCTATGCTAACGCTTTTGACTCTCATTTCTTGCAGGTGGTTTTGCACACCAAGGCTGGTACACAACTTGAAATGTATTCACACAATCCATTTTTATTCTATTTTTTTCTAGTAACTATTTTATTAAATAAGCAGTCTGTTAGGTGTTTTTCCTCAAAAATGACACATTTTATGTCATATTCTTGGCCCTTTAATAGTGCAAGAAGAAATTATAATATATTTTCTTTTGTGGCCTGATAAATATCTTGGTGCCTCATCAAATATTGCAGTCATGTTTAGATGCCAATTTCTGTTGAGTTTCTTTGTTTTGTATATATTTTGGCAATGAACAACTGCAAGTTTTACCTTTTAACTTCTAGGTAAGATGATAGATATACTGGCGTTTATCTATCTGGCTTTCAGATGAAACACTTTTTCATTTTAAGCTATAATAGATTATTTTTGGCCACTCAGCTCAGTTGGTTAAATTCTAATATTAAGGATGTCAAGTTCAACCCCCATTTTTAGATTCCTGAGGTGAGCTGTATGCAGGTCCACCCTAGAAACATAGGAAAGCCTCATGGAAGAAAAATCCTTTTGCCTTTATTTACTTTGAAAACAACTCCAAGCACGTGACCCACTGGGATATTAGCTGCTTTTTCTTTTTTCAGAGAGATAGCCATGTTAATTATTCTGGTAAAAAGCACAAAATGGTCCTTGTACAGTGGATACGTGTCTGTTCATTCAATTCGAAGGAGGTCCCCATGCCCAGAGAACAGTCAACTGTGTCAATGTGGATATATTACCTACAGGATTTTAAACTTTTGAAACAATCGTTCCTTAACTTAGGAAAGGAAGGTAAAAAAAATTTACAGGGCAGAAGAGTATCATTGGAGTTCAATTAGTTTTGGTCTAGGACAGTTCTTTGAAGAGGAATGAATTGTTTCTTAGATCAGCATCCACAGTTTGGACAACTGGGTTTTATCAAAAGGCATGGAAATGAACAGTTAGTATCTAAGGTCACATGTAAGAGTTTGGGAAGAGGCAGCTGCCAACGGCAAGATCATGCCAGAACTACAACAGAACATTTTAAAATCTCTGAGTGCCTCTTGAATATTAGAGTCCTATGAAGTAGATAGGACACACATATTCCCATTTTGTAGATGAGGTAAGTGGCACTCGAAGAGGATAAGTGAATTATGTTTTATTGGAATGTGTTACGAGATCTGAGGAGAGAACCTACGTTTATTTTTTTGTTTTGTGTGTTTTGGTTTGTTGGTTTTTGACTTACCGTCCCTTGCTTTATATTTGTCAATATCTAGTAAGTGTATGGCTCTATAGAAAGTATTTTATCAGACAATGCATGATATTATAAGGCAAATACATACATACATATAAAACACAGATTATTATAGAGGGTGATATGTTACATAGAGTAACAGATGAACTACTGAATGGTTGACTTGAGTACTTTATAGTCTTGGAGTTCAGAAGAGAAGTTAAGGAACTTGGTTTTGGGTATTGTTTAAAGCAATTGATAATGTTTGATCTAGGCTTTAAAGAAAGGATAATGCAAGAAAGAATTCCAGACAAGAAAGAATGATGCTGGTGGGGCTAGAATAATTTTCAGGGAACTAAGAAGCTTTATTTTGCTTCTTGCAAGTGCATGGTGCTAGAATGGCCTTTTGAGGCCAATGACTTGATGGTCTAGATGAAGTAGTTTATATTTCGTAGACTTTCAGGAAATTGGAAGTCACTGCACTTAAACTGAAGAGTAAGTGGAGAAAATATGTTTTGAGCGAAATTAATTCTGTGGCAGTGTTTTGGATGGTCTAGGGTGTAAAGTAATAAGTCCTGTACTGCGGTGGATGTAGCAGGATGAAAACAAAAGAATGGTGAAAAACATTTTTTTTAAGAAATGTATTTTAGAAAGTTATTTCAAAATAATTTCAAATTTATAAAAAGTTCCAAAAATAATACAAAGAATACCCTTATACCTTTACTACTGTGAACATTTAAGCCAGTTTGTCTTGACATTTGTGCTCTCTCACTGTCTCTTCTCTCTCTAACTTTTCTCTTAGCCAGTTGAGGGTAAGTTACATACACAGTGTCCCTTTAACCCGAAATACTTCAGCATGTATTTTTTAAAAATGGGAATATCCCCTTGCCTAAGAAATAAAAGCCACTGACTTCAGTAAAGTTTGCATAGATAACAATTTATTTTTCTAATCTGTAATCCATATTCCAGCTTTGTCAGTTGATTCAATGTTATCAATACGCAATAAGCATTTTTCCCCTCCAGCACAGTGCGCAGTCTAGGGCCAGCTATTTTTTTTTTTTTTTTTTTTTAGTTGTCATGTTTCTTTAGCCTCCTTTAATCTAGAACATTTCCATAAACTTTATTTGTTTTTCATCACATTAACATTGTTGAAGTATATAATCTCTTCCTGCTTTGTATTAATATAAAGTCACCAGTTTGTGCTTATCTGATATTTCCTCATGACTGAATGTATATTTTACATTCTTGGGTGAAATACCGCGTTGTTGATGTTATGGCCTCTATACAGTATCCCATCTGGGGCATACGCTGCCCATGTCTTTGGTGATTTAATTTGACCACTTGGTCAACATGTTGTCCAGTTTCTCCATTGTATAATTACTACGTTTTCTCCCTTTCAACTAATAAACTGTCTGTGGGGAGACATTAAGACCATGTAAATATCCTGTAACTCATCAAAATTTTGCCCTAGATTTAGTATCTATTGCAGAGTTTTGCTTGATTCAATCTTTACTCTGAGAGTTACAAAAAATGATTATTTTCAAACTCCAGCACTCCTTCCACATTTACAGTCAATGCTTAGCATTCTGCTGTAAGCAAGGGCTCTTCCTTCTCTCTCCCTTCTTTCCTATTTTTTTTTTAATTTTTCTTTCTTTTCATTTCTCTTTTTTTCTTTCTTCCTCCCTTCCTTTTTTTCTTATTGTTGTAGACCCACTATTGCTATGTTTTTATAATACTTCATAATTACGCTATCTTATGATTTTGGTGCGCAAATGTTTTTCAATTTTTGCCAGTGTGAGTTTCATTAACTTGGCCTCTATGATCTCATGACATGCCTTCATTCCAATTATTTTTTTAGCGCTTTCTTATTTTTTTCTTTCTTTCTTTTTTTTTTTGTTTTTTTGAGATGGAGTCTCATTCTGTCACCCAGGTTAGAGTGCAGTGGAGTGATCTCAGCTCACTGCAGCCTCCGCCTCCTACATTCAAGTGATTCTCCTGTCTCAGCTTCCCAAGTAGCTGGGATTACAGGCACATGCTATCATGCCCAGCTAATTTTTGTAGTTTTAGTAGAGATGAGGTTTCACCATGTTGGCCAGGCTTGTCTTGAATTCTTGACCTCAGGTGATCCACCCATATTGGCCTCCCAAAGTACCGGGATTACAGACATGAGCCACCGTGCCTGGCCCTTTTCTTACTTCTCGGAATAACAGGATGTTCCAGGTACAACTTTTGTCTACCACACTTCGCCCCTAGAATTAGCCATTTAATTTCCATTTAGTGAGGAATGATACAGACCAAGATTTGGGTGGTAGGTGACCTCAGTGCTGCTGGGGTATCATTGCTACTTGACCCCTTCAGCAGACAGAGATAAGAAATGTATTCAAGTATATATACCTACACCCAAACATACATGTAAATGTATCTACACACAGACATATACATTATATGTACATATAAACATACACATAATGCACATTTTATAAAGTGTGAGTTTACACTGCTACCTTCATACCTACAACATTGTTTCGTTATTTTTCCCATTCCATACTTTCATATGTTTTCATCCAAGATGAGAATCCTGGCTCCCAGTAATGTCATTTATTGATTTGCTTAATCCAATAATGCATCTAAAATAGTTTCAAAATTGCTTTTCCCGTACCACTTCTTATATTCAGAGCTAAGGAGGATTTGAAGCAGGGGTTAACCATGACTCGTGTGTGTGTGTGTTTGTGTGTCTGAGTGTGTGTGGGTATGCGTGTGTGTGTGTATTTATTCCCTTTGTGGGTGCAAGAGATTGTAGAGTGAACTAGGGCAGTTATAGTAGTTCTGCCTTCTTAGTTGAAGGCAACAAATAAGTCAGGATTACTTTACGACTGTTTGTCTCATTTCTTCCTTCCTAAGACTTAACATCAAATGCTGAGTTATTTTTTAAATACCTTGGGTAAATTGTTTATTTTTTCCCTCCTTCCTTCCTTCCTTCCTTCCTTCTTTCCTTTCTTTCTTCCTTTCTTCCTTCCTTCTTCTTCTATTTTGTCAGAGATCTCATGAAAGCCAACAATTCATAAGAATAATTCAGTCTTGATTTACGTAGTACATAAAAGGCTTCCAAATGTGGCAATGAAAGCTTTAGATTGAGATTTCCTTCAAATATCCTAGTGGCCACTTGAAGCCACCCATAAATCAGAGAAGCAATGGGAGTTTCTTATTAAATTTTACAGCAAGTCAGAAATCACTGAATGAGAAGAATTTCTGCAAGGAAGGTACTAGAGACTCTTCATGCAAAGTCCTACATTTTCCCATATCTTTAAGTTTTATCGTAATTCTATTAAGTCAGTTATCTGTTGAACACAGGGCAGTACATACTCAAGCTGTTCTTGGGAATGTTTGCACCTCACCTAGGATCGTGAGGATAGTATTTGCCAGCAGAGAAGCCCAAGGAAGGAGATTTCCTAGGTCATAGATGACAAGGGGTTGTACAAATTTTGTGGAATCCCTAAGTGGGAAGTCACTGGGCTTCAATTCATCATCCAGTCTGTGTAAAAATCTAGAATTGTGTTTTTTTTTTTTAATCTGTGTGTGTATGTCCTTTATGGAACAACATTCACCATATATCCAGTTACCCAAGCCTGAAAGCCAGGCATCATCATTCCCTTCCTTCATTCTGCTCATCATTAGTAAATCCTGGAAATTATATCTGTGAAATTATCTTTTTGTTGATGATTTTCATTTCTACTATAACTGCCCTAGTTCACTCTCCAATCTCTTGCACCCACAAAGGGAATAAACACACACACACACACACACACACACTCACACACACACACATACACGAGTCATGGTTAACCCCTGCTTCAAATCCTCCTTAGCTCTGAATGTAAGAAGCACTATGAGAAATCTGGACCCTGGCGCTCCCGCTCCTTTCAATCCCATGTGGGTCACTAACCTACTTGTTCCCAGCTCTCCAGCCATGCTCTGTAGCTGTTTGTTATCCAAAAGCCTTCCTTCATCCGTCTCCCCTTCCTGGAATCCACCCTTGATTCCCTTTCTCCAATTCTTAACAGGGCTTTCTCTTTTTAATTCTTCAAATCTAGCTTAAATATCAAACCTGGCATCTTCTTCCATTTCACATTTACCAACACAATACCTCGTTCATCAAATTCATAACATTTCTCTGAGTTTTGTTATTATAGATTTAATTACAACCTTAACCTCTTTTGTCTGCCTTTCTCCCGTAGACCATGAGTTTGGAGAAAATGGGCCCTTTCTGCCCCTCTCAACACTATTTCTCCAATACCAAGGCTAGCACCGGACACATATACCACACAATCAGCAATTTTAAGTGAATTAACAAGTGGATGTAAGGGAGGGTTATTTTGCTCGACATGAGAAATGTAACCTAACGCAGAGCACATATTAACCTTGCTATCTATTTTGGTAAAAATATTTGACTTGGAAATATTGAGATTTCTATACAAACACAGCATCTAGGAAACATGTTTTGGTTGTTGTCTTGTTGGAGATTATTGTCAATCTGTTATACCTTAAATATTGTGATCAGAGGCATTTTGCTTATTCCAAATTTTCCTTGGATGGTGCATTTTTAAATCATTAGAACATTAAAAATCTTTCCCCTTCGAAGTCTTATAATTTTTTCTTATTTAATCAACAAATATCTACAGTAGTAGAAGTGGCTGTATTACTGATGAGGATTAAACATTGGAGTAAAATTCTGAGAAAAAATAATTTTTTAAAGAAGGCAACAATCAGTTAATATTTTCTTAGTCATCAAATAATGGCTTTTGGGGGCTAATTCTCCCCAGTGAACAAATATATCTACCATCACTGTAATTATATTTTTTTTTTATCTTGTAACTGGGCCATAGTTGCTTCAATGCTGTTGTACTACCTTTTTATTATTTATGCTCTGTGTGCATATTCTATTCCTTTGAGAGAGGAAAACAGATATACTGTCTTATTTTTATTACTGAACTCCTTAGTCTGGAATTAACTGGTCTTTCCTCTTTTAGAGCTGGTAAGAACTTGACAACTGGAGGTAATATTTAATTTCAAGTGTTAGAAATATTTTTTTCAGAATTTTTTTACTATTGGTTGTTTCATCAATAGAGACTTTAAGATGAAACATGACAGTTTCAGGATCAGGGTAGGGGTCACTGAGTTAAGGCTCATATTTTAATGTGGCATAGAATAAAAATCAACCCAAAGGGATATCAAAGCCCATATGACTTTTTTTTTTTTTTTTTTTGAGATGGAGTCTTGCTCTGTTGCCCAGGCTGGAGGGCAATGGTGCAATCTCAGCTCACTGCAACCTCCGCCTCCCAGGTTCAAGCGATTCTCCTGCCTCAGCCTCCCGAGTAGCTGGGATTACAGGCGCCCACCACCACGCCCAGTTAATTTTTGTATTTTTAGTAGAGACAGAGTTTCACCATGTTGGCCAGGCTGGTCTCAAACTCCTGACCTCAGGTGATCTGCCCCCCTAGGCCTCCCAAAATGCTGGGATTACAGGCGTGAGCCACCGCATCTAGACGATTTTTAAGCTTCTCATATTCTTCATTGTACTTAGCTTCTTAATTCAATGTTGCTGGTGTCTTTAGAGCTTTATATTTGGAAATAATTAAGGATTAATTTTATTTTTTACCAAAGAAGTAGATCCCCACAGAACAATATTGAGGTCATTGAACAAGAAGAACTGGGGGAGAAGATAGAAATGATGTCACAGGAGAAACCAGAATTGACAAGGATGTAATAGTACTTTTGCATCAGATAGACAATCAGGAGGCATGGTAGTGAGGGTAGAGAGAGACGAAACAATTATTTATGGTGACATTTTTGTTTTAAAAATGTTTGCAGGAAGGGAATCAGAACAAACCAATGGCTGAAAAGAGAACATGCCAAGGATGAGTAGAATGTTGTTTCCAGGATCAAGACTAAAAAAGAGTGTTTGAAAATGAAATAGGGTTAAGTACAGTTCAGGGGAGTTTTGTGTACAAATATATGTATAATCATCAAAGTCACTTAAGCAAACATATAAACAGTTTTTGTTGCACAACAAAAAGCATGACGTCTAAATTTTACTTACAGATATTTCCTTAAACACTGTCTAATATTTTACTGTCTTGACTAAAGAAATGGAAATTTGTCAAACTGGCCAAAGGGGACACACATAGGTGGTTGTTCAGTCTTCATTACCCCTGGGGAAAAGGTTCAATGCATTTTCTCAGGGGCTGATTCTGGGATTAGCTCTAATTAATATTTTCATTAATAATGTGGATGATGGAAAGAGGTAACTTGAAACATTTTCCAATTATGGCAAATCGGGCAGGGAAGCTAGCACGTGGAAGAACTTGATTACAAAATAAATGAGCATTTTTAGTTGCAGAAGAGAGTGACTGACAGTTTATTTAGACAAGAGCAAGATGTTGGGTGTGAATCACTGGTACTGATACAAGTACCTTATATTTATGTTGTGTTTTAATATTTAGAAAACAAGTTCACATCTTTGCTTATTTATCTTACCTTCAACCTTGCAAACAGGTAAAATGATCACTCTGGAGATAAAGATGGGACTAAGTTTGCTATTAATGGGTTTGACAGGGAAATATGCAGGGATAGAGAGAAATGAGGACTGAGTGGAATAGTCAGTTGCTAAATAAATTTGCATCCAAGCTTCACCCTAGGATGTTTAAAGAAGATTTTTGCCTTGTGGTATGGGGCATGGTGGGCCAATTTTACTGGTATTATCAAAATTGGGCAAGCTTTCAATTAGTGTATTTTGCTTGATTTAGTTATAGAAAACTTAAGGACAAAAAAAGGCATAGGTGAAGAAATCAACAGGATTTCTAATGTATTTAGAAGACTAGCATGAACAAAAACTATGGTCATTATTGAGCACGAAGAGGGAAAGTGAATAGTGTATATTTAACTTCAAACACACTTTCATGTTTCATTACTGGAAGAAAGGGCTGCAACTCTCCACTCTTTCTACTGGGTATAGGAAAATATATAGTCACATTTTTTTTTCCTGGAAGAACATTTATAAGGAATAACATCACCTATCCATGAGGCTGAGATGTATCACTTTCTAGTTGGGTGACTGAGAATAGTCACTGCTCCTAATGCGTCTCTCTGTGCACTCTCCCTTCTTTCCTTTTTTCCTCCCTCTCCTTCTTTTACTATGTGCTCACTCTCTTGCTAATTTGTTTATTTTTCGCCTTTAAAAGATACCATTACTTTTGTTAATGAGGATATTTTTTGTTAAGACTAAAATTTGGACAGGGATTATAACCTGGCCTAAGAATGTTTTATTATATAATCTAGGCTTACCTTTTGGCATCATTTAAGTGTTCTTCCTATATGCAACTGAGTACCAAGGAGGGATTTGGCTCCTTGTATTTTAGAATGTGATATTGTTATGAAAGCCTAAAGTTGAAAGTGCCTTTCAGATACAGAAAATAATCATATATTATCTTCTCTTTTAGGTCAAATGGCAGGTGATCATACTAGGCTGGAGTTCCATAACATAGAGACTGGCATCATCACAGAACGACGGTATCTTTCTTCTGTCCCCTCCAACTTCATTGGACACCTGCAGAGCTTGACATTTAATGGAATGGCATACATTGACCTGTGTAAAAATGGCGACATAGATTACTGTGAGCTTAATGCCAGATTTGGCTTCAGGAACATCATAGCAGATCCTGTCACCTTCAAGACCAAATCGAGCTATGTTGCCTTAGCTACCTTGCAAGCCTACACTTCTATGCATCTTTTTTTCCAGTTCAAGACAACATCCCTAGATGGATTAATTCTATATAACAGTGGGGATGGAAATGACTTTATTGTGGTTGAATTAGTTAAAGGGTGAGTACATGCCTGTTCAATAGCAAATAAATAAAACTTTGGAAAAATGGACGTCAATTTCCAAAAATATACACTAAGAAGAACATACTGGCTCATAAGGTGGTGGGCCGGAGCAGGTGGAGGACAAATAAGAAGGCATTTGTTTAAATCATCTCTTAGGTATCTTAAATTAATATGGATTTAGGACAGTTTTTTGCACCTACATTTTCACATATGAGATACAAATTACATTGGGCTCTAATTTATGGTAGGCATTTCATGAATGTTACAATTCAAATGGGCATTTCCTGACTATGCACAATGTAATTCCACAAAAGCATTGATACAGGTTTGTAGGATAGTCTATGCTAAATTAAATAGCTAATTCAAGTACTCAGATTGTTTAAATTTCAAAAAAACCCTTTTAACTCAAACTTCATTCTATGTCAGAGTGCCTTAGAGAATTTAGAAAGGAAGATTTGTGTAAACGTGCCTTAAAACTGTGAGGAAAATTTAATGTATTTTAATTGATTTCAGCATTTATTCACTCATTCTGCAAATATTGGTGTATATTTACAATATGCTACATCAGGTGCCATGCACGGATATAAATATATATACTTCTGCCACCCGTATGCACATCTCAGATTTCTACCACTGTGAGTCATACCCACACACACCAACATACAATCCTAGGGTTTGTAGATGAACACATAAACAGAAAAGAAAAGAAAAGCACTGTGACATGTTTCTTGAGGTGATCACATTCAAAGGCTCAGGAGACTCTTCAGGTAAATTAGAAAAACATGTGGAGCAGGGAGTGGCTATCTGACCTGGATGTTGAAGGATGAGTACACGTTCCCTATCCTCAAACAGGGAATCGAGATAGAGGAGAAAAGCAAGTGCAAGAACGAGAAGAATGGCCATTTTAAGTGTTAGAAAAGGATGGAGGGAATTGTGGAAACAGGGAGCGCGTGGTGAAAGATATTGCTTTCCAAATTCATAAAGTTAAATGTAGACCATGATTTTAAAAATAATTTTCACTGTTTCCTTTAGTTAAAACACTGAATAATCCTCTTTGCTGAAACAGAATAGTGTTTGTTACCTTCTTGATAGCTGAGTTTCTATGTAACTTATTGTCATGACTTCTAGTAAGGATGGAACCACCTGAAAAAAAATCTCCATTTGTAATATCTACTTTAGGTTCATCAAAATTTAAAAAGTGATGGCACTTTCCCCTCTTTCATTTTTTTCCCAGGTACTTACATTACGTGTTTGATTTGGGAAATGGTGCTAACCTCATCAAAGGAAGCTCAAATAAACCTCTCAATGACAATCAGTGGCACAACGTGATGATATCAAGGGACACCAGCAACCTCCACACTGTAAAGATTGACACAAAAATCACAACGCAAATCACCGCCGGAGCCAGGAACTTAGACCTCAAGAGTAAGTGCATGTTAAGTCAGAGCAACGAGCCTTGCACCACACGGTCTCCCTTCACATGGAAAATCCTTTGCTTAGGGGTGTGTTTGTACCTTCTGCAAAGACTGACCAGAATTTCATTTTCAGCACATAATTAACAATACAACACACAAGCCTCTGCTCCCCTTTAATGTGGTAGGAACCTATGTATTTTTAATAACAGCTCAAAAAATGCAGCACCTAAGGAAGCATGCATGATTAAAATGTAAAAAGTGAGAAAAATATAATATTGGTCTTGATATTAAAAAGGCATTTGTAAGTTACTTAAGTCCCAACAGTTTTCAATTGATTTGGAGTCAGGGAACCAGATATATAGGAGCTTATTATAGAGCTTATTAGTTTTCTTTCCTTGGTAAGGTTTCCTGGATCCTAAGTCCCTGACCAACAGGAGTTTGAGCCTGGCTTAGAAACCCTGTGTCTCCAACAGTGAATTCTATCCCCCATCCCAACACACACACACACACACACACACACACACACACACACACCACACACACACACACACACACACACACACACACACGGAATGCTTCTTTCACCAGCTGCTAAGAAAGTCTTAACATACGCTTCTCTTCCTTATTGATACTTCATTTCTCAAATGCACGTGACAAAATGCTGAGAAAACATGTCAATAATAGAAGAGAAATGACTGAAGTTTCTATTTGAATCACATTTTGTGATTCACTAAGAATATATGTGTGTATCCCATCTAATTTAACACTACAACAGGCATTCCAGAAAGTATTATTAGCCTGTTATTCTCAATGTAGAAAATCGGAGGAGGGGAGTTAGGAAACTGGAAAGAGAAAATTTAACTCTCTTTTTTTTTTTTTTTTTGGAGACAGAGTCTTGCTCCGTCACCCAGGCTGGAGTGCAGTGGCACGATCTCGGCTCACTTCAGTCTCTGCCTCTTAGGTTCAAGCAATTCTCCTGCCTCAGCCTCCCAAGTAGCTGGGATTACAGGCACCCGCCACCACGCCCGGCTAATTTTGTGTTTTAGTAGAGACAGGTTTTTGCCGTGTTGGTCAGGCTGCTCTTGAACTCCTGACCTCAGGTGATCCGCCTGCCTCAGCCTCCCAAAATGCTAGGATTACAGGTGTGAGCCACTGCACCCAGCCTCAACAGAACTCTTTCTAGAGAAAAATGCTCTTTCTAAACAAGGTGAAAGGAGAAAGAAAAGTGTTTTGCTTTCTGTAATTGCAGAATATATTTTGAATCCTGGGACTTTATTTGCTCAACATATAAAATGTGTGGTAATGGCCGTCTCCCTTCTTTCACAGTGGGCTTCTTGCTAACTTCAAAGAGATCTTATTTGTACCCACAAATCTAATAGCTTGGCTCAAAAAATAAAATGAAATTCAAAGAACTGCTTCTTACAGGCCAAACCTCTTTCTCTTTATTCCCTCTGATTGAAGAGCTTTTTCTTCTGTATTTTTCATGGCCCCCTGTTTTGCACAGTGGGCTCAGGTGGTAATTGTCAAAAGAAAGGGAGAGATTGTAAAATCCAGTGTGCTGATCGAGTCACCAAAGCTAAAGCAAAAAGTGCCCTGTTTGTGTAGGTGAGACGTCAGTAAGTATAAGTGAACTTCACTGGAAATTAGGGATACTCTGTTGGAAATTAAAATGGCTAAAAAAAAAGCAGTTTATAATTGGTTGAAGTATGTGGCATGTACAGCCCTACACATTGAGGGTCCAGAGAAGCCGTGTGAGACAATGGATTGTATTTCTTCAGATAGTTAGGACACTGTCTCCTGAGAAGTAAATATCTGCTTATTTTTCATTAACAAATGGAAGTGAAGGTAATAGGAGATTGTAGACTAGGATTCTTTCTGGTGGGGGTACTTACACACCTAAGTACTTCAGAGTTTATTTTTATTAAAGCATTAAGTGATGGATAACTCTGAAGATAAAACAGGCTTTGCCCATAATAAAGAAAAAACACTGTAAGTATGAACTTAAAAATGGCATATTACATAGTATTAAGATATATAGTAATGAACTCTCAGTGTACTTGTGTTTTTTTAAAAAGCACAATTAAAATTGTTTGTGAATTTCCCATGTGAAGGGGCTAATCATTAGTATAGAATAATACCTTCTGCATTGCAGAAAAGTAAGAGCAAGTTTCTAAAATTAGTCCAAGTTTGAGCTAACAAATTGGGTATGTGATCCGATGGCAACAGTCATCCCACGGTGCCTCTTATCATGTGCACCATCAGCTAGAGGGAGTTTGAGAACAGCCTGCTGTGGGGCCTGATGTGTCTTGTCTCCCATCATCACCACTTTGGGTAAGGGTGGCTGTGGGCATTGGCCAGAGCATGAGTATTTATGGAGCATTGACTTTGGAAAGAGGACAACAGGGTTTCTGCAATGCAAAGCTCTCCGTCTCTATGAGAACACTGGCGTTGAGGGAGCACTTATAGGACAGAGAAGGACAGCACTTTTAGGTGCTGTGGAGCTGTAGTGGGGCATTGAAACCAAGCTGGGAC